>NT_187522.1:0-120616 GCF_000001405.40 Homo sapiens
GCACTTTCTTTCAAACCCTCTGTTGCTTGCCTTGCCGTTTGCTTCTCCCTCTGACTGTAACTCAGAGGAAATCTGAAGGTTGCCACAGGAAAGACTTAACCTATTGCTTCCCAACTGGGTGCTGCAGTCCAACGGTCTTAGGTACATTTGGAAAGGGGGAGAGGTGTTTCACTTTGGTTGACAAAAGGGCTGGGGTGAGCATATGACATTTAGTGAGTAGGGCTAAGAGTACTCAGTACCTTGCAGCGAGCTCAAAGCTTTCAAGGAATGGAAAACACCTGTTCCTCAAAAAAGCTTAAAGGTCTCTGGTCCTGTCCAGTTTCTCCTTTTATGATGAGGAAACAGATCCGAATGACTTGTGTGTTCACCAGCAAGCCTGCCATGTCCCAGGCATCCTCTCTCCTGACACAAAGGAAGGTGTAATGCCTACCCGCCAGCCCAGACCAGGACAGACGGCCTAGACAAGGGAAGGCAGACCTGCAAATGGATAATTTCAGTGTCCTGTGGCTCAGTAGAGATCCAGGCAGAGTCCCATGGGCGTGTTTACCCTAGATAATGCAGCCACAACACTGCAGAGCCAGTGCCAGAACACAGGTCCTCTTTGCCTTAGTTCTGGCCTCTTTGTCTTATGTTGTATTTCTCCCTACCATAGAAAATGACTAATTGTATTTCTCTCAGAAGGATCTCTGTTTAAGTCAAAGAACTAGAAACAGCACTAATTATCAGGGAAATGCAAATCAAAATCACAATGAGATATCATGGCTGTTAACCGAAAACTCTGGAGACAGCAAGAGTTGGTGAGGGTGTGGAGAAAGGGACCCTTGTGCACTGTTGGTGGGAATGTAAATTAATACAGCCATTATGGAAAACATGGAGGTGCCCGAAAAAGTTAAAAATGGAGCTACCATATGATCTAACAGTCCCCCATTCTGGGTATGTATCCAAAGGAATTGAAATCGGGATCTCAGAGAGATGCCTGCGCTCCATGCTCACTGCAGAATTATACAGTAGCCCAGATAGGGAATCAACCTAAGTGCCTATCGACAGGTGAGAGGACAGAGAAAATTTGGTATGTAGTGGCTCACGCCCATAATCCCAACTTCTCAGGAGGCTGAGGCAGGAGGCTCACTTGAGCCATGGTGTTCAAAGCTGCAATGAGCTATGATGGCACCACTGCACTCCAGCATGGATAACAGAGTAAGACCTGTCTCTTTTTAAAAAAAAAAATGTTTTTAAAGAAAAGAAAATATACACAATGGAATTCTATTTAGTCCTTAAAAAACAAGGGGAAACCTTGCCATTTGTGACTATATGCATGCACCTGGTGGACATTAGGTTAAGTGAAATAAGCCAGACACAAAATGATGAATACCACGTGATCTCATTTACATGTGGAATCTACAGAAGTCAGACTCATAGAAGCTGGGGCCTGGGGGTGTGAGGGGCATGGGGAGATGTTACTCAAAGGGTACAGAGCTTCATTTATGCAAGAAGAAGGAATGCTGGGGATGGAATGTACATTTAACATGGTGACTATAGTTAGTAATACTGCGTTGTTTACTTGAAATTTGATGAGAGCAGATTTTAAGTGTCCTCACCACCCTCACACATATACACACACACACAGTAACTATGGGTAGTGACGGTTGTGTTAATTATTTCGACTTTGGAATTCAGTACACAATGTCTATTTATAACAAATGATCATATATACCTTGAATATATATAATTTGTATTTGTCAACTAAATATTCTAAAATTTAAAAATATGCCTTTTCTATTTACCCACATTTAAAAAAAAAAAAAAAGAACTGGAAATCAAATGGCTTAACTTTAGTGTTCCATAAAGAGTGAGTAGCTCAGTCTTCTCCAGGGTCCCAGAAGTTGCCTGATACGTAGACATATCCCTGATCAGTATGTGAGCTTAGGAAGAGCCTTGAATTAGAAGAATTGGTTTCAAATTGTTGGTTTGCCAATAACCTGTGTAACCTAAGGGAATTCATTGAACATCTGTGGCTCTATTTTCTTCTCTGTAAAATGAAAGGTTTTGGTAAGTCTGTCAGTTACGCTGTAGGTTCAGCTGCATTAACAAAGAAAGCCAAAGGTATGGTGGCTGGAATAGGATACATGTTTATTTCCAGGTGGTAGAACACTTTGGAGATATGTGGGCCAGCACTGTGGATTGACTCTACCTTCCTCAACCAAGTCCAGGAAGCTTTTTCCCATTGCTGTCTTCCAGCCATCTGGAAGAGGGAGAGGCTGGAGAGCTCTGCAGTATTCCTTTTATGATACGTCATCTGGAAGACAGTGTGTCCACTCACATCCCACTACCTAGGGTTTAGTCACTTGGCCACACCAAGATGCAAGGAAGGCTGAAAATAGTCTTTAGGTAGGCGACCATGTGCTCAGGCAAAACCAAAGTTCTGTTACTAGAAGAAGGGGAGGGCCGGGCATGGTGGCTCACACCTGTAATCCCAGCACTTTGGGAGTCCGAGGTGGGTGGATCATGAGGTCAGGAGATCGAGACCACCCTGGCTAACACGGTGAAACCCCATCTCTACTAAAAATACAAAAAACAGCCGGACGTGGTGGTGCACGCCTGTAGTCCCAGCTACTTGCGAGGCTGAGGCAGGAGAATCACGTGAACCCAGGAAGCAGAGGTTGCAGTGAGCTGAGATTGCACCATTGCATTCCAGCCTGCGCAACAGAGCAGCACTTTGTCTGAGGTTAAAAAAAAAAAGGGGGGGGAGATCAGAGATTGGTGGATGGCTGAGAGTCTCCTCCAGTGAGTCCTTCCAGCACCAAAAGTCTTGAATCTGGAATCCATAATTACTGCCAGCCTTGAGCCTTTGCTGATAACTGAATTCCCACTGCTGCGTATGTAAGAATTATCCAGCTTGTAAGTAGGTTCGAAACCCATTTTCTAGTAAATTATGTTATAAATCGTAGGGGAGTTTTTAGAATAAACCACAAAGGGCTCTCTAGGTGGAACTTATTATAAAGAGATAATGTTGTATATTCTGTCTCTCACACACACACTCACACTCTATCCTGTTATTAGTAATTTAGCAAAATAATGTTGGGAAAGCATATTTGAGTACAGTCTTTTTTGTGGATATATTTTCGTTTCTCTTGGGTAAAAACTTAATAGTATACTTTCTGGGGCTTACGATAAATGTGCATTTAGCTCTATAAGAAATAGAACAGTTTCCAAAGTGGGCACAGTATTTCATGTTTCCGTCAGCAGCGTATGAGAGTTCCAATTATTTTGTATCCATGGTATAGTCAACTTTTTTCGATTTTTGCATTTCTCTGATGACTGAGGTTATATAGACTACTTGATACAAAGGATCTCATGTATTAATCCTTTGATATGTAGACGGTTTGTATATCTTTATAGAGCATCTCTTCAAACGTTTTCTCCATCTTTCAAACTTCGGATGTTTGTCTTATTGTTACTGTGTTTTAAGAATTCTGTAAATATCCTGGTTGGAAATGAGCTATCATACACAATAGATGTGTTGCAATTTTTTTTTTTTTTACTATTCTATGTCTTGTTTTTGCAATTTCTTAGGTGTCTTTTGAAGGGCAGAAATTTTAATTTTGGGGTGCAGGTATACTAGCTACAGATTCTCGCAGCTTTTATTAGTTTCAAAATTATTACTTTTTTTTTTTTTTTTTTTTGAGACAGAATCTTGCTCTGTCGCCCAGGCTGGAGTACAGTTTCACAATCACAGCTCACTGCAACCTCCGCCTCCCAGGTTTAAGTGATTCTCATGCCTCACCCTCCAGAGTAGCTGGGACTACAGGCACGCACCACCACGCCCAGCTAATTTTTTTTTTTTTTTCTTGAGACACAGTCTCACTCTGTCACTCAGGCTGGAGTGCAGTGGCACAATCTCAGCTCACTCCAACCTCCACCTCCCAGGCTCAAGCAATTCCCCTGCCTCAGCCTCCTGAGTAGCTGGGATTATAGGCATGTGCCACGACACCCAGCTAATTTTTGTAATTTTAGTAGACACGTGGTTTTGCCATGTTGGTCAGGCTGGTCTCAATCTCCTGACATCAAGTGATCTGCTCACCTCAGCTTCCCAAAGTGCTGGAATGACAGGAGTGAGCCACCACGCCTGGCTAGTTCTTGTATTTTTAGTAGAGACAGGGCTTCACCACATTGGCCAGGCTGGTCTTGAACTCATGACCTCAAGTGATCTGCCCACCTTGGCCTCCCAAAGTGCTGGGATTACAGGCATGAGCCACCATGCCCAGCCTCATCTTCGTTATTAAAGTTTATTTTTGCCAAATATACAACATATTTACAGTATGTAGAATTCTAGGTTGACAGGTTTTTTTTTTTTTCTTTTTAGACCTTGTAAGATGCCATCCCACTGTCTTTTGACTTGCATAGTTTCTGATGAGAAGTCTGTAGTAATTCTTATCCTCGCTCCTCTGTACCTAATTGTATATTTTTCCTCTGGGTGCTTTTATGATTTATCCCTGGTTTTTCAGCAGTTTGGTTCTGATGTACTTTCACATGGGATTTATGTTTATTTTGCTCGGCATTCATTGGCTGTTTTGGATCTGAGACTTTATCATTTTTGTCAATTTGGGGAAATTTGGGGTCATTATTTCTTCAGGTATTTTCTGTGTTTTTTCTCTCTCCTACTTCTGGAAACTCCAGGTATACCTACTGCTTCATATTGCCACAGAAGCTACTGAGGATCTGTTTTTGTGTTTTTATTTTGCAGTCTTTCTCTCTGTGGTTAAGTTTAGAATTTCTACTGCTGTCCTTAAGTTCACTTATCTTTTCTTCAGACTTTTTAGTTTGCAGCTAATCCTATTCAGTGACTTTTCCATGTTTTTTACCTCTGGAATTTTTATTTGGTTCTTTTTCGTATCATTTTTCTTTTATCATTTTCAAGCTTTACTTTAAACTCTTGAGAACATTTATAAGAGGCACCTTAAAGTTGTCTTCTGAGCTGGGTGTGGTGGCATGTGCCCATAGTCACAGCTACTCAGGAGGCTGAGGCAGGAGAATCACTGGAGCCCAGGAGTGTGAGGCCAGTCTGGGCAACATAGGCCTCTTTAAAGAAAAAAAAAGGAAAGAAAGAAAAGAAAAGAAAAGTTCTTATCTGAAAGTTCCATTATCTATGTAATATCTGCATCTATTTTTATGTACTTTTTCTCTTAGTTACGGGACACATGTTTTACATGTCTAGTAATTTTTTATTAGAAGGTGGACATTGTGGATTTCAGGTTGTGTGTCTAGCTTTTTCATCTTCCTTTGAAAAGACTTGCCCTTTATTCTGACAAGCAAGTAACTTATTTACAGATTTAGTTTCATGTTTGTTTTTAGACTTTTTAGAATGACTTTAGAGCAGTAGCTTCTACTTTTGGGTGACCTTTCTGAAGTCTGTACTGAATTCCCCTTCTGTTCAGTGAGAGCACTAAACATGGCAGACCCACAGTCAGCACCCTTCAGCCCTGTGTGAGCTCTGGGCTTGCCAGCTCACAGGACTCTGTCCATGGCAGACCCACACTCAACACCCCACAGCCCTGTGTGAGCTCTGGGCTTGTCAGCTCACAGCACCTCATCCTTTCCTGCCTTCAGAGCTGCACTCTCTGCACATACAGCTGAGTGTCAGCAGTAAACTCAAGGGCTCCCACACAAACCCTTTCTCTGCTTAGCTCCCTCCTTTCTAGATCTCTGGATATAAGAATTATCCAGTTTGTAAGTATGTTCCAAAACCATTTTCTAGTAAATTATGTTATAAATTGTAGCTGGGTTTTTAGAATAAACCACAAAGGATTATGTAGGTGGAACTTATTATATAGAGATAATGTATATTCTTTCTGACACATACACTCTCACACTTTCTCTGTCTCCCATTGTTGTTAATAATTTAGCAAAATAAGAATGTTGGGAAAGCATATTTGAGTACAGTCTCAAGCTCATCAGCCCACCCGCCTTAACCTCCTTGATGTCCCAAACCCTGCTTGGGATTCTCCTCCTGCAATGTGGTCCAAAAAGTGCCATTGGGTTCAAGAGTTCAACTCATGTTTTCCTTCTGTTGGGTCACAGTCCTTTGCTGTGTCTGAAGACAGTTGTTAGATTTCTTCTGAGCAATGTTGCAGTTGTTCACATCAAGACAGTCCAGTCCCAGTTACCCTGAAATGGACAGAAGCAAATTACTGCTGCTTTTTATTCATTCATCAGTTGGTGGACATTTGGGCTGTTTCTACCTTTTGGCTGTTGTGAGTAATGCTACTGTGAACATTCACACACAGGCGTTTGTGTCTATGTGTTCTCAGTGATCTGGGATGTATAGCTAGGTGTGGACTTGCTGGATTCTGTGGTAACTCTGTTCAACATTTTGAGGCCCCGCCAGACAGTTTTCTAAAATGGCTATTCCATGTTGACTCCCCACCAATGATGTGGTGTGTGAGGGTTCCAGTTGCTCCACATCCTTGAGTTTGGGTTTGGGTTTTAATTGTTGTGGTTTTTTTGTTCAGGTGGTCTCATTTTTCCCTGGAGTAAGCAAACACTGGATCAGAGGATAGACCCTGCCAGGATAAACAGGCACCTTTCTGCATTGGCGATGTGGCAGAAAGCTCAGCGTGTTCTGTGCCAGGTGCAGGGGCTGCTGCCTTTCAGCAGCGCTACCCCGTGAGCATTTGTGTCTTTGGGCTTCCCAGACAGTAAGGCCCATACGCTTTCAGTCCACTGCTCTGGCTTCTGTTTTGTCTTTCACCATCAAAATCAAGAAGGGACTACTGAGACTATTCCCCCATTGCAGGAAAGGCAGCCAGGCCCTAACCGCCTGTCAGCCGTGAGAACAGCCACTTGCTCCTCCATAAATGCACCTGACCAGGAGAATGGGGTGGCGACATCACGATGAGTCCCAGATTGTGATATATTCATGTGTTTCCTTCGTGTTCCCTGAACCTTGCCCTGGATAAAGTAGACCCTCACTGAATGGCTTGCTGGTCTGAAGGAATCATTGGTTCTAGCTGGATTCCATCCCAGGTGTAGTAGCACAGCTCTCTAGAAAGCCCTGGGGGAAGTTCCCTCCCCCTCCCACCTCCCCTGCACAGTAACGGCTAGAGGAGATGCAGTACAAGCGTCTCCACCTCCCTGCGCTGTCACCACCTTCAGTTAGCCACACAGCAAGGGCGAGGTTTGTCCTAAGACGCTTGTCACATCCTTGGCCCTCTGTTGGTGGGATATTTGATAGTCATGCATATGCTAGTATCTCAGGAACTTGCTGTGGTAGCTAAAATATTAACTAACAGAGAATTTTAAGGACAAGAGATTTTCACAGCATGGTCTCATTGATAATGTTGTGGGGATGGAGGAGTTGAATTGGCCCTCCGTCCCTGGCATTACAATTTGATTTTGCTCTTTACCCAGCTCGCTGCCCCCCTGGCTGAGATGCTCTTTGTCTGAGACGAGTTGCATTTTTGCAGAGCTTTATGGGGCCCTGTGTCTGAACTCTTTTATTTTGCCTTTTAATTATTGCTGCTAGATCAGTTAGCTGATTTTGTGGATCTGGTATTTGAAGTACTTCACCTTATGCTCTGAAAGCAGAAATTATACAACTGCTGCCCCTAGGTCTTTTCCTCAATGTGAGAAAACGTGAGGCTGGCCTCTGCGAGCACCAGGTTTAGCACCCAGGGAAGAGACAGACCTATGACCTGGAGCCACCCAGCCCCTTCTGCCGCAGGCTGTTGATCTCTCCTGGTAGAAGGGAGGCAGCAGAGCAGAGAAGCAATGTCAGCAGCTTTTCTGATTCTCTTGCTCTCATGGTCTAGATTCTGTTCTTCTTTTAAGTGTCACTATTTTGAAAGATAGCAAAAGATTGAAATAACCTTGCTTCTTAGGAGAAACAACTTCTATGCTTTTCTTTCCCCCGCTCCCCCCGCCACCGCCCCGCCGCCAAAAAAAAAAGGGTAGGAGAACAATAGGAAGAGATCTGAGCCAGCGGTGAAGTCCAGGCAGGGGGCACGCAGGCTTCTCTGCACCCTCAGTCACTGCGTGCTCCCAGTGGCCCGCCTGCAGCATGAGCATCAGCTTCTCTGTGGCTGGGAGGCAGCTTTGTGCTGAGATGGAGAGATCTTGGCTTTCTCCACCCCCCATCTTGGGGTTGTCCTAGTTTGAGTCTTTCTTCTGCTCACCCGAGAGACTGCAGGGACTTTGTGCTGTGTCCCTGTCAGCAGCTGCTGCGGGCCAGACGCCCAGAGCACGTGTCAGGGAAGATCCAGCCAGCTCCGGCTGCTTGCTGTCTCCAGGCATTTCAGGGACCTCAGAGCCACTGCTTCCTCCTCCCAGGATGCTCACTGTCTCTGGCATTTCAGGGACCTCAGAGCCACTGCTTCCTCCTCCCAGGATGCTCACTGTCTCTGGCGTTTCAGGGACCTCAGAGCCACTGCTTCCTCCTCCCAGGATACTCACTGTCTCTGGCGTTTCAGGGACCTCAGAGCCACTGCTTCCTCCTCCCAGGATACTCACTGTCTCTGGCGTTTCAGGGACCTCAGCGCTGCTTCCCTTTCCCCCTGGGCTGCTCTATCCCCCCAGCTGCCCCTGCCTCAGGTGTTTCAGGGACCTCAGTGCTGCTGCCCCTTCCCAGGTGCCTTTCCTCAGTCAGCAGCACCCCCAGAAAGGAGAGAGATGGTCCAGGGCTGTGTCCTGGTCCCAGCTGTGTGTGAGAGGCGTCTCCTGCCGCCCGTGGAGAGCATCGTGTCCTGTGAGCAGCCTTTACTTACCCTGGACTCTCCCTCGGCCTGCGGTGCAGCCACCGAAACAGCACTGAGGCCTGTGGACTGTGACAGTTTTCTCTGCACTGTTGGGATGACTAGTTTGTCCCCATACAACAGACTTGGTAACTTCAGGCCCTTCCCTGGGGCCCCTGAACTGTGCCGACTCCCGAGGGTCATGAAGGCTGGCTCGCCCAGCATCTGGGCTTGACACTAGCTGTGAGATTGCTCCCTGCTCAGGGCAGGTCATTGGCACATCTCTTCTGTCCCCAGGCCACACAAAAGCACCTGTTCTCCCTCCCCTTGCCCTTCTGTGTCTTCCCTTTAAAGCAAGTGGCATGCTTCAGATTCCACGTCCAGTGTTCTTCAGCACCGTCTAAAGATCGTTCTAATCAGAGGAGTCAGGTCAGGAGTAGAAACGGTCCCGTGCAGAGGCAACTGGATTCTTCCCTGGCTTGCAGCATGAAGTGCGCCCAGCAGCTCCTGGAGCAAGGCCTGGCTCAGCGAGGCTACCGAGGACCTGCTGTGAAAGGGGGTCTCAGTTTTCCTTTGGCTTGGCTGGTGACCTCAGCACTGAAGAGAGGGCCATTGGTAATTTAACTTCTTTAGCCCTAGCCCTCCAGGCTTTCCTGGAGGTCCAGGCAAGCATGGAGGCATTGATGAGATTTGGGAAGACTATTCAGGCCTGCCTGCACCAGCGCGAGGCTGGCCACTGTGGGTGCAGCCCCTGGTCCCCAGCAGTGTCACCTTCATGCTCCTGGGCCTCCCTAGGCCCCTCACCTGAGGCCTCTCTGCTGGCTTGGCTTTGCCTCTCACTACAAGCCTGGTAGTAGGCGGTAGGACTTACCGTTTCCTCTTCAGAATAAAGAACATGCTTTCTGATCAGTGGTGAATAAAGATATAATTTTTAAAATAAAAAGAATAAAGAGCAATTCTAAAATTATGCATTTTATTAACGATTGTGCTAATTTAGCTTCTGGTTAATTGAAGTTTTACGATACTATAACCGTTACTTTTACCTCCACAAGCCAGTGGAGAAAAAAGAAATTGTGTTTAGTTATGGGTTCTGGTTAGCTGAGTTTAGTTGACATTTTATTGTCTTGACATATTTTTCTTCTATTCTTCCCAGGGAGATGCAGTTAAAGACTTGATGCTTCGCTTTCTGGGTGAAAAAGCTGCAGCAAAGAGACAAGTCCTAAATGCCGACTCAGTGGAACAATCTTTTGTTGGATTGAAACAGCTAATCGTAAGTGACAATGTGTTTGATTTCAGTGTTGTTTTGTGATAAGTCCTGCCTGCCTTCATAATATTTTCTCTAGAAGTCAATTATTTTGAATATTATTCAAAGCTCTTGCACATAAGTAGAATTTTGTTGGAGTAGATGCCAGTCCTGTGCACCAAAAAGCATCATATTAATACATGGATACTTTTAAGCCTAATTAGTTAAAAAGCCATTATTGGAAATGATCAAATTACTCAAAGCAGTGCATACTTTGATTGAGTTTGCTTCATCATATATAATAGAGATAAATGATTTGTGTTCATTTTTTAAATATATTGCATTTTCTGCATTTTGTGTAGAAAGTTTATTATTGAATGGGTGAATTTCTGAACATTTTTAAGCTTTGTCATGAATTCTATAAGTAGGTTTTTAAAATTCATGGCTGGGCGCAGTGGCTCACACCTGTAATCCCAGCACTTTGGGAGGCCAAGGCGGGCAGATCACAAGGTCAGGAGTTCAAGACCAGCCTGGCCAACATGGTGAACCCCATCTCTACTAAAAATACAAAAATTAGCTGGGCATGGTGGTGCGTTCCTGTAATCCCAGATACTCAGGAGGCTGAGGCAGGAGAATCGCTTGAACTGGGACCCGGGAGGTGGAGGTTGCAGTGAGCCGAGATCACACCACTGCCACTCCAGCCTCGGCTACAGAGCGAGACTCCGTCTCAAAAAAATAAAAATAAAAAAACATTAGTACTGGATCACCATTGCTGTACAGGTTGATTTGTTTCCAATGAATTTATAATCTTAAAGACAGCTGTAATTGCGTTGGGTAGCTTTTCTAGATTAAGGAGAAGATATTGGAAGTTTGTCGCGTATGTTTCCTTCAGGAATCCTATGGTAGCCATGGGGTAAGTACTCTGAAATGAGAGCCCCATCTCACACCGAATCTCAGCTCCCCAGTGTTGTCTCCTTAGGGGGCTGTGGAATTGCTCTGCTAGCTCATCCACACGGTTGCCTAGAGTGGACTTAGCAAAGCCATGCTCCCATGCCTGCATGCAGTCAAGTTAGTGGGCACACTTTCTTGAAGGGGTTTGGAGAGTGAGGTCCTTGATTTTGGGAATAAGTCCCACCGGCTGTCTGAAACTCATGTTGAAATGCGCCCTTATCCTGACTGTATTTCAGCGGCACATGGTCCAGACACTCTCCATTTGGGTGAACAATCTGGAGGACATGTATTCACCTTTCAACTTTCAAAAAAGAGAATGGAATTTCCTAATTTACTTATTTTTCTAATAGTTCCCCATCTTGTTTTTCTCAATTGTTACTAATTCTTCTGCACCGGGCTTCAGATTTCACCAATTTTTTTTTTTTTTTTTTTGAGATGGAGTTTCACTCTTGTTGCCCAGGCTGGAGTGCAATGGCGTGATCTCAGCTCACTGCAACCTCCACCTCCCGGGTTCAAGTGATTCTCCTGCCTCAGCTTCCCGAGTAGCTGGGATTACAGGCGTGCACCACCACACCCGGCTAATTTTTTGTATTTTTAGTAGAGACAGGGTTTCACCATGGCCAGGCTGGTCTTGAACTCCTGACCTCAGGTGATCCGCCTGCCTCACCCTCCCAGAGTGCTGGGATTATAGGCGTGAGCCACCGCACCCGACCAGATTTCACCTATTTTAAGCAAACTTTAGTTCCTAAAGATATAATAGTTGAGAAGTTTAGAAATTTCTGGAGGATTAAACTTTGCAGCCCATTGAAATGACAGGTGAAGGTTAGCCTGTGAACTAAAACAGAAAATGAGAATGTTTTAAAGTTTATTTTGGAGTAGCGCGTGGCTCAGTCCCAGCTCAGAGGCAACTGTCTTTTGTGTGAAAACAGTAATATGTAAATCACTTACTTGCAAGAAGACTACAGTGAAGTTCAGAAGAAAATAATCCCAGTTCCTTTTTTGTTACATCACCTCTGCCTCTGTATTTGAAAGTGAGGTATAGCCTGTCCCCATTCTGCCAGAAATGACTGATGTTTGTGAGGCTGAAATCCTGAGCCAGGAGAGGAGTGATTTCTTGATCTTTAACAGGAGCATTTAACAAAGTAACAAAATTTTTTCCTTAATTGACTAGTTCTCTTGAATTCAGACAAATCCTTATTATGTGTGGTCTTGTGACTTCTGTGACACTTTAGAAGCTTTCCTGGGTTCAGTATGGATTGGGGACTGCCTGCTACGCTGACCGGGCCACCTGGAACCCCTTTGCCTGGGGCCTGGCTCCCGGCTGTGATGACCCAGATCGCGGTTGTGTGAGGGCCTTTCCGAAGCATGGGTGGGGGCTGTACTCTGCTGTGAGGTCGCGCAGGGACATCGTGCCCTGGGTTCCTGGATTTTCTAGTCCCTCTCTTCTGATTTTAAACTTCTCTTTGACTTTCTACTTTCTAGTGTTCTATTGTCAGCAGATCTCTTGCTTCCTAAGAGAGCCTAAAGGAAAAAATATAGAATCCTCCCCATTTTACTCAAAAGTCAGTTTCTTATATTCTTCTCGATCTTGATTTTTAACTTCCTTTGATCCCTGATCTTTTTCCCAAAAAAATCTTTTTTTGGAGTTTTGCCCAAAAAGCCTGTTTTTGAGAAAGTACCGAACATTGGCAAAGCAGCCTTAGTTACTTGGATTTTATCCTGACTTCATTATATGCATGAACTGGGAGGTGACATGTCATCAGTGTCAATAACAAATGCTGTAACTTGGGGGAGACAGAGCCAACCTACAAAAATTAAAAATCTGTAATAAACACCGTGACAGTCAGGAAGCGTGTCTTGTTCACCAGTGCATCTGAGGACCCAGCACGGTCAGGCACAGAATGGGTACACGGCGTCTTCTTGAGTAAATAAAGGGATGAGGGAATGAATAGATAAGAGAACCCCCAGTCGGTAAGCTACTCTTTTGATAAAGAAGTAGCGTCAGAATGTTGGGTTTAAAGAAATAGAGAAGGAGCTCATACAAAAGGATAGAGTGGGGGGCGGTTACGGGGGAGGGGGCGCAAAGAGTGAGGAGATGAAACCACAAGAAGATTAGTCTGGAGAAAGATGGAACATTTCTTCCTCTGCAATGACAGAAAAGGAAAGGAAGGATTTGAAAGGAATGAAAATCGAATCCAGCACATTTTCAAACTGTGATTCTGAGAACCCTCGGGTTCCAGGGAGGGACCTTGGGGTGACTGGGCATGGCCTGCGGAGGTGACTTGGTAGGGCCAGTGTCAGGCAGAGCATTTCAGCAGGGTCTACTTTATGTAGAAGTCTCTCTTGAGATGTCTTTTTTTGGGGGGGTGGGGGGAAAGGAGGATGAATTTTACTATTTAAAAATTTGAAAAACTAACATAGTCCAAAATGCCCGCTTTGTAGATTAGAACACTAAGATCTACAAAGGTGTAGAGGTTGGCCCCAAACAAATGTCCTTGCTCCTGTTACCAGTACCATCCCTACTGCCCCATGTCCCTTACACAGTCCGCACAGCCCAGCAAAAAGCACAGTTGCTGGTGTTGGTTTTGCTCATTGACTACCTCCCACCAAATGACTTAGTATTTCTGAACCGTCGGATCTACACACCGTGGGAATTACGCTTTTCAATACAGCTTCTAGGACTGGATTGTATCCAGGGGTAGGATTTCCCATGAGAAGACCTTATATCTGATGGGATTCAAACAAACAAGTTCTCACTTGTGTTTCTTAGTGTATTCATTGAGCAAACACATATTAAGCCTCTTCTCTTTCCAGCAATAACAATAAAGGTTGCTAAGCTAGTGCTCTTGCTCCGTGAAGTTCTGCCTTCTTAACCATTTATGGGATTTACTCAGATTTAGAAGTGCTATTCTATTATTTTTAATTTACTTATTGCTGACTTGAAGCTCATACACTATTTTTAAAAGAAGTATATATTCCAGATTCACAAATTTATTGTAACTCTTATGATTCTTCATCAGTGTCTTCAGACACAGACACAAATTCAGCTGCACTCCTAACCCATGGCAGTGAAGTTTCTCTTTTCTCTCCTCATGCCCTGAATCCACTTCCCATAGGGAAGCTGCTTGTACTACATCTTGAATACCAGTTCCCACAACCCTGCTTCTGTAACTGGCGGGAATCCCGAGAGCTCCAGCATGAATCCCTCAGGCCTCTTGCCCCAGAGCAAAGTTCCCAGCTGTTCCCTGACTTGCAGAGACTGAAGGACCCTTCCAGACTCAGAGAAGCCAAACCTTCCCCAGAGACGCTTCCCTCTCCTCCTTCCTCTGCACCACGCTCCCCAAGCTGTGGAACTGTCACTCACATGGTCACGCAACATACACACACAGGTCTGTACTCATTAACTCGGAGTAAGCGCAAAAACCCAGGCAGAGACCCTCTCCTAAAATAGAAGCAGGAAATTATCTTAGGTGTAGGTGTTTGCTGTCTGAATCCTCTGGTAGCCTGTGAACCACTGGAAACTATGCTCCCCAAATTGCCTTTCTTCCCCACGTTCTTTACCGTATTTACAGAAGCGTGTCCTCAAAAAGGTAAACAAGCATCCCTTGCTTACCTTCACACATCACACCAAGTTTAAATGTGAGTCAATGTCAGTCGAATGCTTCTTTGAGTTTCTTTTACCAAAGTGATTCTGTAATTATTTCTATGATTAGAAAGCTTTGGAGAGGAGAGAGATGGAGATACTCTTTTTTAAAGGGGAAAAAACAGCTAATTTGTAAGTATCTGTATCCTTTATAATTTGCTAATGCAGTTACGGATCTCCAGGGTGGCCATTTCCCTGGCCCATGCTCTGTTCCCAAGGGTGTGGGCGTGGCCCCTTGGTTTGGCCATGGGGAAGCTGCTGTGATGTATCCTCTTGAGGCAGGAACTGAACTGGCAGCATGACAGGGCTTTATAATAATGGGTTTAAAAATCACACACAAAGCCATGCATGTTAATTATAATTAATTTTTTCTACAGGCTATTTTTTACCCTCTTTGATCGTTCCTGTTATTAATAAATATATACAATGGTTTGATGTGTTTCATACGTTGGAAATACTTGAGACCATCAGAAATTTTATTAACAGGCCTAACAAGGGAGCTTACGTAAGGTGAAAAATGTATTTATGAAAGGATCTTTACCTTGCCCTGGTATTTTAATTCTAGTGTGTCCTAAAATAATTCGTGTTGTCTTTAAGGCAGCCAGGAAAGGGTTTTTGAATTATTTCCCTAAGTTATGTCAGAGTTTCCTAAGATTGTAATTTACAGGGAAATGGATGTCACAGCCTGGGAGAAGGACGTGTTAATCACTTTAATGGTATCATATGTAGAGGTAATAATTCCCTTTGAGTCTTAGATGGAGAAAAGTTATGTACATGCCATTAGTTACTTGAGTGATTTTTATTAGACTATTTTTCTCATCATTTGGAAATTGTGTAATGCCTACGTTCAGTTTTTCAAATAGACCCTGTATCGTACTCCTAGCAAAAAAACGTAAAAGTAGTTTTTATCTAAAATCTTTATCTCATATCAGACTAACTTCATTATTAGAATTTTACATGTCATGTACAGTAATTATGAGATTTTCATAAGATTTCTTTCACAAAGTTTAAAGTTTTATGTGGTATACTTTAGATTCTGATTTTAAAAATAGTTTCTTTGCTTCATATTTCTGACATCTATCATTGAAAATAGAGGAGGGGGGAGGCCGAGGCGGGCAGATCACGAGGTCAGGAGATCGAGACCATCCTGGCTAACACGGTGAAACCCCATCTCTACTAAAAATACAAAAAATTAGCCGGGCGTGGTGGCGGGTGCCTGTAGTCCCAGCTACCCGGGAGGCTGAGGCAGGAGAATGGTCTGGGAGGCAGAGCTTGCAGTGAGCCAAGATCACGCCACTGCACTCCAGCCTGGGCGACAGAGCAAGACTCCGTTTCAAAAAAAGAAAAAAAAGAAAAAGAAAATGGAGGAGGGCCACCAGGAAGGGGAATAAGGTGGAAAATAATAAGATAAAAATAGCAAAAAACACACTAAGAAAATAAGCAATTATAATTTCAAATAGCAGACGGCATGCGATCATAAGAACTGGCTCTGGCTCTCACAGTAGCCACAGTCACATCCCACCTTGGAAGGATGTGCTGGTTCCTCCTGGCCGGTCGTCCCCTCTCCAGCATTTGTCCATTAAACAAGAGCCCTGGCTCTGCTAGTTCCACATCACCTCTTGGACAAGTCTGAAGATCAGAATGCTGAGGCTGTGCTCTGCCGAGGCTGGTAAAAATAAACCTCCAAACACGTGTGCTTGACATGTGTGGCCAAGGAAATGTCTACCGTGCCTCCAGTTGGAGGCTTGTACCAGGAGAAACACTAAAGAGGAGGGAAGCGGACAAGCCTATCACACTGGCAGCACCAGTTAGTAAGGGTAGGCAGCACACATTGTTGATTCGAACGTGAATTGTCTTGCAGAGCAATTTAACAATAGCTAATAAAGCTGGGCGTGGTGGCTCACACCTGTAATCCCAGCACTTTGGGAGGCCAAGGTGGGTGGATCGTTTGAGCCCAGGAGTTCAAGACCAGCCTGGGCAACATGGCAAAACCCCGCCTCTACTAAAAGTACAAAAATTAGCTGGGTGTGGTAGCACACGCCTGTAGTCCCAGCTACTTGTGGGGCTGAGGCAGGAGGATCACCTGAGCCTTGGAAGGTTGAGGCTGCAGTAAGCCATGATCGGGCCACAGCACTCCTGCCTGGGTGACACAGTAAAACCTTGTCTCAAAAAAAATTTAAAAAAAAATAATAATAACAATAAAGTACATGCTTTGTATAACTTTTGACTCAACAATCCCACTTTCAATTATATACTTTAGAAAAACTTGTACATGTGTGTAAAAAGACATTCAAGAATGTTTGCTGCTGTATTACTTATGTTACTTAGCCAAAAATTCTATTAAAAATCTTAATATTCAATATCCAAAAGAAGAGAATTATGTTATATGCAGTTGATCGGGCAGCACAGTGCGACCTGACCAAGCTCACTCTGTGCCGCCCTGGATATCCCACACGTGCACCTGTTCCCACACACGCTCCTTTCCTGCCCTGCGCGGCCCGCTGCGGCACAGAGCTATGTGCACCGTGGCTCCTGAGCCCTGCCCGGCCAGGGGCAGTCTCCTGGCGGCTGTGATCCTCTTCCTGAGGCTGCCACAGCTGTCTTGCAGCCCAGTCCCCTCTGGTGCCATGCCCTGGGCACGTCACTGTCCCTTGCTCACAACTTTGCAAAAAGTTAAGACTCTCTTCAGAAACTCCTGTGACCATGCAGTAGCCATCATGTCCTGCCAGGCCCCCGACAAAGGATATGATAGCAAAGCCTGACCTCAGCGAGGAGAGACAGTTATGGTCTCAGTTCATCTCCTTTGGTGTGAACAAAAATATTCCTGTGCCTAGAAATGTTTTTGAAATACAAAGTAAACTGGAACTATAGACAAATATTTTATATTCTCTTATCAGAAAAAATCACCATTTGGGAAAGTATAAATTGTAAATGGTAAATAATGTGTTTTCTTCTCTTTTTTTCCTTTAATGTTTTTCTAAATGATTATACAAAGAAAATCATCTGGCTGGGCACAATGGCTCATGCCTGCAATCCCAACACTTTTGGGAGGCTGAGGTAGGAGAATCAGTTGAGTCTAGGAGTTCAAGATCAGCCCGAGCAATATAGTGAGACCCCTTTATCTACAGATAATTTAAAAATTAGCCTGATGTGGTGGCACGCACCTGTAGTCCCAGCTACTCGGGAAGCTGAGGTGGGAGGATTGCCAGAGCCCAGGCCGTGGAGGCTGCAGTGAGCCCTGATCGCACCACTGCACTCCAGACTGGGCAACAAAGCAAGACTTTGTCTTTAAAAAAAAAAAAAAAAAAAAAAAAAAAAGGGGAAGAAATGAAAAAATCCTGTTTCTATTCCCTCTACTGATGCATCTGACTCTCACACCACATCTAAATTAGAGATGAAGGGGCTCTCTCAGTCACGTCTGCCCTGAATTGCAGTGGGGGCTCTCCCCAGCTGAGGTGTGAGGCTGGGTCTGGGCCTTGCCCCTTTGCTCCCCACTCCGTGTCCCCCAGCAGGTCTGCCAGCGCCGAGCCCTCTGCGCCTCCACCTGGGAGATGCAGGTGGAAAGGGCTGCCCAGACTCTCTCTGCCACGTGCTCTTTTGTGTTATCGTCTCAGGGAATTGGGTTGTTCTGACTCCTAGAAAATTGGCTCTCGGGTTGGTGTAAGTTTGTGTAGATATGACTGCATGTCATTTATAGACCAATCGATATTAACCAGTAAATTGCTCACTCTAATAGTGCACACTTAATCAATAGCAGCAATTATCCAAGTAAATCTTTCATATTCAGTCATCTGTGGAAAAATTATATTGGGAGAAACCGTAACAAGAGCATAAACATTTCTGCTTTCTATTTTCAGTCAGGAAAGAAGCCACTTTTTAAAAGATTTACATTTCCCAAAGAAATGAATAATTAAGATGGTAGGCATTTGCTTTATTTTTAATAGTTGTGATCTAGTGTGAGACATAGAAAATAAGTCTTAGAATATGAAATCATGGCAAAAGCTGAAGGCTTTTTATATGATATGTTTTACTATTTTTAATCATTTATGGAGTACTTTATGTTTGCAAAGCCCTTGCAAATAATTTTATTACACATGTAAATGTTTGATTGGTGGCGAGTATCTATACATAGTGGGTATAAAATGAGATGGAAGCCTTTACTGTAAAATATGTCTTACTTGTTTAAAAAATACGTAAGTATCCATAATCAGATCTTCCCGTTGATATGTTTTTGTGCCCACACAAATTCAAATTGCCTTTGAGGTCCATCAAATAGATAACAAATTGAGGGCCAGGCGTGGTGGCTCATGCCTGTAATCCCAGCACTTTGGGAGGACGAGGCAGGCAGATCACGAGGTCAAGAGATCAAGACCATCCAGGCCAACATGGTGAAACCCCGTCTCTAGTAAAAATACAAAAATTAGCTGGGCGTGGTGGTGCACGCCTGTAGTCCCAGCTACTCGGGAGGCTGAGGCAGGAGAATGGCTTGAACCCAGGAGGCGGAGGTTGCAGTGAGCCAAGATCACGCCACTGCACTTCAGCCTGGCCACAGAGCGAGACTCCATCTCAAAAACAAATAAAATGAAATAAAAAACAAATTGAGTTCACTGGGCTTTGTGTGGCATCACAGAATTGAACATCAGGAGATTCCATATCTACTGTATCAAAATCCTTTTGTTTTTCAGAAAAACCCAAAACTTTGCTTATGCTTTAGCTGCTATACTTAGTAGTAACTTACACCTTCCATACTTGTTGTGAAAATGCTGTATTATTTCAACCAGCCTGAATTTGGTTCCTGCATGTCAAGCACTGTTCTAGGTACAGAGACTGAGGGCGTCACTGTGTGGAGAGAAGTGACATGCACACGGTTGATTTCTGACAGGCCAGGACATCAAAGCGCTGTCTGCATGAGTGCTGATCCATCATTATTTTTTCATTCACAAAACTCTTTTTTCCTCCCTTCACAAATAGCAAGTTCCTGTATCTAAAAGAGAAAAGAAAAACTGAAAAAAAGATTGCTTATATAACCACTGTCCTTTTACATTTTAGTGTATGTGTTATACGTATGTGTGTGCATATCTATACTATACATAGTGTGCATGTATGAAGATGGAGATACATGTTTGTGTATATATGCTTAGGCACAAAATTCATATGCTTCTATCAATTTGTGTCTTTTTATTATGTATTATATATTTAGCATTTCCCCATATAAAAGGGTCTTTAAAAACATTTTAATAGCCACATAATCTGAAGTTATTGTAAATAATCTTAAGATGAACTGTCTTATACAGAATTCTACATATGTGATTGTTTCTTTAGGATAAGTCTTAGGAGGAGAATTCTGAAGTCAAAGGCTGTTCATAAATACTCCCCATTGTCGTTCAGAAGGTCATTCCAGGTTATGTTTTCCACAGCACCTGAGTGCACTGGCTGTAGCATCTCCTTGCCTATCCTGACTTGTATCTTTTTTTAAAAAAATTCTAATTTTTTTAGGCTAACAATGACATTTGCTTTTTATTTGTTTTGCTAGTGAAGATCAACTCACTAGTAAATTATAATTTGCATTTCTTTGATTACTAGTGTGGTTAATTAAGCATTAGTTTATTCTTGTACTGTCTTCTTGTAGTGCTATGAATTTACTGTCTGTTCCACAATTTTTTTGCATGCCAAGTGCCACACTAAAGAAATGCTTTTAGAAATTAAAAAGCAATGCATTAGATGCGGCCACTGCCCCAAGGAGCTAAAGGAGAAATAGGAATTAAGAATAGGAAGGTTTCACCATGAGCAGGAAAGGCACCATTAAGATCAGGTTTGAGGCTGGACATGGTGGCTCACACCTTTAATCCCAGCACTTTGGGAGGCCGAGGCAGGTGGATCACCTGAGGTCAGGAGTTTTAAGACCAGCCTGGCCAACATGGTGAAACCCCATATCCACTAAAAATACAAAAATTAGCCGGGTGTGGTGGTGGGCGCCTGTAATCCCAGTACTCAGGAGGCTGAGGCGGGCGAATTGCTTGAACCCAGGTGGCTGAGGTTGCAGTGAGCCAAGATCGCGCCACCGCACTCCAGCCTGGGTGACAACAGCAAAACTCCGTCTCAAAAAACAAACAAAAAGATCAGGTTTGAGGTTGGTTTGAGGGTGCTCATCTTGCAATGAGCAAGTGCAGGTGAGCTCTGACTGGAGCAGGGGCGTGTGAGGGCTCGGCGACACAGAGCGGCCAGCTACACCTTCATCTAGAACGGATTCATGTCATCTCCAACTCCAGGGTGGCCAGCTGAAGACTGGGCCATCATCTGTTCCGAATCATTGATATGATTGTGTTTCCTGTGACCTGTTCTGTTGTTTTAGACCTGGTCAGCACACTCACAACTTCAATGAAATTAGGAATACCTTTCACACAGAGCTAGGCACATAAGTTGATAAGTACAACCTGAAAAGGCCCAACTTAGCCGTGAGTGGACATAAATAGGAGTTGTATTACCACAAAAGTAAGGAAAATATGCCATGTACAGATATCTTGTTCATTTATTATACAAAATAAATGGTGGTCTTTGCTCCCAAAGACCCTTCCAGAAGAAAACAGTTGAATACTTTTAGTGCAGAAGGACAACTCCGGGTTACTGGTAGAACTTAAAAACTATTATTTACAGTTTCTCTTCTTAACTGTTTATAACTTTTGTTCATAAAAACTGGCAGTTTCCTTTGTCTAACCACTGCATACCCTCTTTCTTTAGGACTCTGGTTTTTCTGTTGCTTTTTGTACTGCTTCCATTTGTGATAGTCAAAAAAGTTGACTCCTTGGACTCAAGGAAATATGGTCTTGGTTTCTTTTATCCTGGGACAGCTAGTCATAGTAGTGGCAAAGGATTATCTCATTATCTTCATTACTCATTGTCATCCCAGAGAACCTTGATGAAGAGCTTTTAGATAAAACATGAATAGAGTGTCATTCGGCCAGTTCCGTAGCACCAGCAGCTCTTGTTGAGTGGTGTTCGGTTAGTGAACAGTTTTATAGTTTCTGAAAAGGTGACACACGTTCAATATCAAATTAACAAATAATGTGTACGTGAGTGTGATTGAATATCATGCAGCCATTATAAATCATGTCCCAAGAACATATTTGAGGATATAAGAAAGTTTTGAGTAAATGATACAAGACACTGTATGTTTTTTTAAAAAAAGACGACAAGGATGCATCTGAGAATACTGTGCCATTGTCCACAGTTGACTTTCTTTTTTCACTTCATACTTACTGTTTGTACTATTCCACAGTGTGCACAGGGATGAGGTGGTAGATGGGGGTGTTAGCTAACTCTGTTGAAGCAGCTAACCTGCCTGACAGTACTGTAAGTGTTTAAAAGGTGTCAGTATGCGTAATCATCTCACCAGCACCCGCCACCTTAGCCTGCTGTTTCTGCTGTATCCTCTCAGTTAGCTTACGATAGTACCCATTTGCCCTGGCCAGAATCCAGGACTTTTACCTCCTAAATAATTCATATGAGTGTTTGTCTCCTCCACCCTGCCCCTCCCCTCCTGTGCTAGTTCAGGCCTTGTTTCCTTGTGCCTTGTTCACTAAGCCAGCTCAGTATCCTTTTTATTCACGTAATACCCCCCAAAGAATTAGAAAACTAGGTACCCCTCACACATTTTTAAGCTATCTAAAATGTTTTATCATAAATTTAAATGGTTTCAAAGGATATAATTAATTTTTAGCACATAGTATGTTGCATATGTGATTTAATTATATTTCCATCAGCAGTAGGACTGCAGATTCAGCTCATTCAGTTTGGGAAATGTGACCCACTTGGCAGCCAGTACCCATCGTAACCAGTCACTCAAACCAGGCACGTGTGATCTCAGAAGAAATCTCACTTCGTCGTGTGATCCAGATAAGCATGGCAGTGGGGTCCTGGCAGCAGTCACTCCACTCTGGATTTAGTCCTTAGAATTCATTCTCTCCCTTCAAAGCCCCCCGGGTTCTTGTCCTCCCCCCTGCCGCCACCCTGGGGTCTGCCACTCTGGGGTCCAGCCTCTAGCTCCAGCTCCAGCTCAGCCTCACCCCCACCATCCCCCTGACCCCATCCCCCAGCTGTCCCCGCTGTGCAGTGCCTTGAACGTGCTCTGCCGTGTGTCGGCCCGTTTCCTGAATCCTCAGGCATCAGTGCCTCACAGAGCTGTGTGCCAGCAGTGTCCTCACAGAGCTGTCAAGCGTGTCCATGCCGTGCCGCTTGTGCCTCTGCCCCGCGAGGGACACCATTCCCCGTCGTTGACGTGCATTCCTCTTGTTCATCGTGCGAGACTCCCCACCCCTGTGCCACCGGTCTCGGTGTCTCCCACACTGGAGTGTCCGTATTTCATAAACACACGTATGTGTGCATGTATGTATTTCTTATGGACATCACGTACGTTGGCCCTTCATATCTACAGGTTCCGCATCCACAGATTCCACCACCCGCAGTTGGGAAACACAGTGAGGTATGCACAGCAACCTTTCAGCTGTGGTTGGTTGAATCCACGCGTGTGGAACCTGCAGATACGGAGGACCAACCAAGGACTTGAGCAGTCATGGATTTGGTATCCCAGGAGTCCTGGAACCGGTCCCCGGCAGATAGAGGGTCTGCTGCTTGTGTTTATGCATATGTGTGTATGTACAGACAGTCCCCAACCTCCGTGGTTTGACTTAAGATTTTTCAACTTTATGATGGTGCAAAAGCGCTCCCCTTTCGGTGGGAACTGTGCTGTGAGCACCCACGTGCCATTCTGTTTCTCACTCGCGGTGAATTCAAGAAATGACGTGAAATGTCCAACACTTTATAAAGCAGGCCTTGTGTTGGCTGATTTTCCCAACTGCAGGCTAATGTAAGTGTTGTGAGCATGTTTAAGGTAGGCTAGGCTATGCTGTGACATTCAGTAGGTTAGATGGTGCATTCACTTCTTTTCTTTTCTTTTCTTTTCTTTTGAGACAGAGTTTGGCTCTGTGGCCCAGGCTGGAGTGCAGTGGTGCGATCTCCGCTCACTGCAACCTCTCTCCCAGGTTTAAGTGATTCTCCTGCCTCAGCCTCCCAAGTAGCTGGGATTACAGGTGCTCACCACCACATCTGGCTAAGTTTTGTATTTTTGGTGGAACTGGAATTTCACCATGTTGGCCAGGCTGCTCTCCAACTCCTGATCCCAGGTGATCCACCCAGCTCAGCCTCCCACAGTGCTGGGGTTACAGAAGTGAGCCATCGTGCCTGGCCTGCATTCACTTCTTTTCTTTTTTTTTTTTTTGAGGCAGAGTCTCGCTCTGTTGCCCAGGCTGGAGTACAGTGGTGCGATCTCAGCTCACTGCAAGCTCCACCTTGCAGGTTCACACCATTCTCCTGCCTCAGCCTCCCAAGTAGCTGGGACTGCAGGCGCCCACCACCACGCCTGGCTAATTTTTTGTATTTTTAGTAGAGGCGGGGTTTCACCGTGTTAGCCAGGATGGTCTCGATCTCCTGACCTCATGATCCGCCCCCCTCAGCCTCCCAAAGTGCTGGGATTACAGGCGTGAGCCACCACGCCTGGCCCACTTACTTTCATCTCAAGATATTTCTAACTTACTGTGGGTATGGATGGAGCATCTGTGTCTGTCTTGATGCACTGGTAGCCATTTGTTCTGTATGACTGTCCCTCATGCCAAATTCATCTTTGTACTCCTGTTGCCTGACTTAGGACATACCTCCTCTTAGGTGCTTAGTAGATGCTTCTTAAGTGAGGGAGTGACTGGGTGCTTCTGTTAATATCAGTATGAACAGAGAGCTAAGCCTGCCCCGCCAGCCCAGCCTGCCTTAAGGGCTGTCTTGTAACAGCTTCGCCTCACAGGCATTCGCACCATGACTTCCACAGGTAGGTTTCTTTATTCCTTCCCCGAAACATCAGGGGCATTCTGTGAGCTTTCCTGTGTGTCCGCAGGGGCAGTTCTGTCCTTGGAAGCTGAGAGCAGAAGCACTGCAGGGCCCCCAGGCCACTTCCTAGGCACACCCCTACCCCTTCACTGTGCCCTCCCCCTACCCCTTCACTGTGCCCTCCCCCTGCCCCTTCACTGCCCTCCCCCTGCCCCTTCACTGTGCCCTCCCCCTGCCCCTTCACTGTGCCCTCCCCTGCCCCTTCACTGCAGTGCCCCCAGGCCTCTTCCGTGCCCCCCCCCTACCCCTTCACTGTGCCCTCCCCCTGCCCCTTCACTGTGCCCTGCTGGGCAGCCTTCCTGGGCTGCAGGGCAGATGCTCTGTGGTACCTGCTCCCGCTCCTCTCAGGAAGGCCTTCCTCTCCCTCTCTGGGTCACCTCTCCCTGGCACATGCTTCTCCCAAACCTGCATCTCCAGTGTCTTCTCTCCTCAGCTACAACCTGCCATCTGCAGGTTTACCAGGCACTTTTCACGTGACTGTTCCACCATCTTGTCATTTTTTATATCTTCTGTCATTTTGTAAAACCCAGCTCATCTGCCTGCTGCGTCTCCATGTCCGGCCTGCCCTGGGTGGGTAGAGACAGGTTCGCGCTGTCCCTCAGATTTCCACGTTAGTGTTTTATTGGTTAGTTTGTTTCTGGGTCTCTCTCACCCTCTAGGGAGCAGCCACGGCTCCCCCCACCGCCCCCGCTGCCTGCTGCTCTCCTCCTGCCGGGCCAGGTGATGCAGCATCTGACCACGTGCGGTCTTTAGACTGCCCTAGTCGGTCTGTACGCTGCAGCTGGATTCATTTTCCAAACATTTTATTTCAAAATACATTTCTCTGTTTAGAAGCACCCAGTTGCCCCTCTTGCCTGGAACTGAAATCTCACCATTGTGACCTGATGTTGGAAACTTGCCCTGGCTTCTGGGACCTGGCCCTCTTCGTCGGCCTTGTGTCCCCCCGAGCCTAGCACAGTGCCTGGTTCACAGCAGGCAGTCAGTAAATGGCCACTGAGTGAATGAATGAGGAAATGCAGATTCCGCCAACATTTACTCATCGAACTTCTTTGTTCTTCTTTCCATGAGAATTAAAACCTTAAGTTTCTCATTTTTAAAAATGGTCATTGGCCGGGCGTGATGGCTCACGCCTGTAATCTCAGCACTTTGGGAGGCCGAGGCAGGCAGATCACCGGAGGTCAGGAGCTCGAGACCAGCCTGGCCAACATGGCGAAACCCCATCTCTACTAAAAATACAAACTTTAGCCGGGTGTGGTGGCGGGCGCCTGTAGTCCCAGCTACTCAGGAGGTTGAGGCAAGAGAATCACTTGAACCCAGGAGGCGGAGATTGCAGCGAGTCGAGATTGTGCCACCGCACTCCAGCCTGGGCAATAGAGACTCTGTCTCAAAAAAAAAAAAAAAAAAAAAAAAACATTGTCATAGTGGCAGGCACAGTGGCTAATGCCTGTAATCCCATAATCCCAGCACTCTGGGAGGCTGAGGTGAGTAGATCACTTCAGCCCAGAAGTTCAAGACAAGCCTGGGCAACATGGGAAAACCCTGTCTCTACAAAAAATACAAAAATTAGCTGGGTGTGGTGACACATACCCGTAGTCCCAGCTACTCGGAGGCTGAGGTGGGAGGATCACTTGAGCCCAGGAGGTGAAGCTGTGGTCGCACCGCTGCACTCCAGCCCAGATGACAGAGCGAGGCCCTGTCTCAAAAAAAAAGTCATAATAATGCCTACTTTATAATGTTATGACCAAAAATAATAACAGCCCATGCATTTGCAGGGCTAACAGTCCAACAGTCCAGCAGGGAAGACGTACGCGGAGAGGTTATGAAAGTGCCATGCTGCAGAGCCCTGGGGAGAAAAGC
Source organism: Homo sapiens (assembly GCF_000001405.40). NCBI lineage: Eukaryota > Metazoa > Chordata > Mammalia > Primates > Hominidae > Homo > Homo sapiens. The sequence goes on from NT_187522.1 coordinate 26,354, forward strand.
TGGCGTTGCCTGCACACTCACCAGGCTCCCAGCATGGTTCTGAGTACTTCACCTGTGTTAACTGTTAATCCTCACAAGAATCACGAAGAACTATTAATACATCCATTTTACTTACCAGGTAACCAAGGCACAGTTCAGCAGCCTGGCCGGGGTCAGGTAGCTGAGAATGGCTGAGGAGTGATGACCTGGTAGTCCTCCTCCCAGACCCTTCCCTTCACCCAGTGACTCCGGGATCTGCAGGGGTGGCCCAGCCAGTCCCGGGGCCTCTCCGTTCCCCAGCTCTTGATTCTCCCAGGACTACTTCTGGCTCTTGTGGGGGCCACTTGGAGCCCTGTGATCACCTTGTGACGCTTGGAGCCTTGTGATCACCCACACCCTATACAGCTCCAGTGGGACATCTGCCATTTCCTGAGTGCCCTCTCCCGCCAGCCAGCTGGTCACTGTGGCATCCACACCCACATGTGGTTCTTCTGCCTTCCTGCACACCGTGGCTCACCAATCTGCTTGCTGACTCTGCCTCAGCACCTCGTTACTTCACTTCCTTCTCCATCTAGCGTGGTTTCCATGATCCACATCTCACACGTGCCTTTCCCAAATCCCAAAATGCCTGTTCCTTCATTCTTCCACTGCACATATCTCAGATACCTGCGCTTTTGACAGGTTCAGCCTCCAGCTTCCTCTGCAAGGACACCCAGCCGCTGAGGCTGCAGGAGGAATTCCCACGTCCAAGCATCTGCAGTGATGCTTGGCAGCATCGGGTGCATCATCAGCACTGCAGGGCCTTCCCGTCAGGTTGCTCCGGTCTCTCCCACTGCCCTTTTAGACCATCTCTACCTCTCTCACGCCTCCCACCCCTCCCCTTCCTCCTCACTTTTAAAGACGAGTGACCTTCCCCCTGCTTTGGAGCCAAAACAGAATTCTGGTAGCACCTCACGTCCCTAGTCCTGGACACACTCCTGCTGAGGTCAGCGGGCAGACTGTCCTCCCCGCAGATGGCCCTCGGCCCACATGCCCTGACGCCTGGAACCCTGAGCCATGGGTCATCCTTTCTTCCTAATGTGTCATCAGCCCTTCTCCAGCTACAGCCTCCTCCTCTGCGTTTTTACACACTCAAGTACTTGGTTAAACACAGACACTGAGGGTCTCACCTTCTGCGGCCGCTGTCTGCCTTTCCTCCCCTGACAGTCTGGTAGTGCTGACTTCCCTAGAGGTTCCTATAGCTGCCCATCTCTCTGCTTCCCTATCCTTAGTTTCCACAGATTTTTTTTTTTTTTTTTGTAAGACAGGGTCTTACTCTGTCACCGGGCTGGAGTGCAGTGTCATGACTTCAGGTCACTGCAACCTCAGCCTCCTGGGCTCAGATGATCCTCCCACCACAGCCTCCCAAGTAGCTGGGACTACAGATGCATGCCACCACACACAGCTAATTTTTGTTTTATAGAGACAGGGTTTCACCATGTTGCCCTTCTTGAGCTCCTGAGCTCAAGCAGTCTGCCTGACTCAGCCTGCCAGTGTGCTAGGATTACAGGTGTGAGCCACCGCGCCCGGCCTTTCCCCAAATCTTATTCTCGTCTGATTCCAGTCCAACCAGCTCTCAACAAAGCTGCTAATGGCTTTGTCTGGAACCTGCCGGATGTTGAGTTCCTCTGCAGGCTGCCTCCTGGAGACATCTGCTCTTGAACCCAGGAGGCGGAGATTGCAGCAAGTCGAGATCGTGCCACTGCACTCCAGCCTGGGCAATAGAGAGTCTGTCTCAAAAAAAAAAAAAAAAAAATTGTCATAGTGGCAGGCACAGTGGCTCATGCCTGTAATCCCAGCACTCTGGGAGGCCGAGGTGAGTAGATCACTTCAGCCCAGAAGTTCAAGACAAGCCTGGGCAACATGGGAAAACCATATCTCTACAAATACTCGCCTGCTTCTGCCACTCTGCACCATCAATATAAATAATAACTAATTCACAATAATCAGTCATGAAAGAATAAAATGGAAAACATGCCAAATGCAGGCCCCTGCTTTGTTATCACTGCATGCCATACACATAAAGTTCTCTGTCAACGTGACTACAGGAGCATCTCCATTCCTGTGCCTCGTCCTCAGGTATCAGTCGCAAGCCACTCGCGGGCTGAAGTCAGCCCACAGTCCTCCTTGAAGTCAACAGAAATGAACTACTGAGCCACGAGGGGCCTAGACCTGGGATCCGCCAGCGTTTTCTGTAAAAGACCATAGAATAAACATTGTAGACTTCCTGGCCATACAGTATCTGTCCAGCTCCTCAGCTCTGCTGTGAATGCCCAGCTCTTCCATGGTAGCACAGAACCTTATCACCGTGCAGGTGCACACGAGGCTGGGCTCTGGGTTCCTGTGAGCTCTGCCTACCAACTCAGGCAGTAGGGGGTGGGGGGCGTCCAAAGGATGTGCACAGATTGCCAGCACCAGGCCCAGCTGCTGGAACATCCTCATAGCTTTACTCACATCTACACGGACGCCTTAAGTTCACCCCATCAGTGCAGGGAGACAGGGGCCTTCAAATGTGATGACACGACACTGCTGTGGCCTGTGCTCTTGGAAGCCTGCAAAGGCCAGCACACCCGACCCTCCTCTGCCTCACCTCCTGTGCCACCCCATCCTCACCTGCTTCCCCAGCCTCTCCTCATCCACACCTGCTCGGCCCCTCCTCCACCGCCTCCCTCCGGCCCGCTGGTCCTTACTGCATCCCCTCGGGCCCTGCACCCTGCCCTCTGCTCCCTGTGCCCCCCATGCCTGCTCTCGCCTTGTTTTGCACACATTCTGTCCTCTTCTAGGGTCTCCGCCCCCTCCCCTTCCCTGATTAACTCCTGCCTGTCCTCACTGTAGGTCATGTCCTGAGGGAAGAGGGCCCCAGCCTTTCTAGCAGGAAAGGCCAGAGCCTTAGGCCTAGGGAACCAGGAAGGGAGCAGTTATTAGTTGCCCCTGGATACAGAATCTGCCTAGATGCATATATAGAACTGGTTCAGACTTGGCACAATCTCTTTCCCTCTCACTCTTTCACATTTGCAATTCAAAGAGAATATACAGAGCCATTTGTATTATATAAAGTGATTATTGCATTGAATTTAGACTAGAGAAGGCATTTGGAGATCGTTTTAGTAAATTATCTTAACCAATCTAAAAATACTTCTGAACTGTCAACCAGAACACAGAAATCCTGTATTACTTGCTGTAGTCTGGACAGTTTAGGGGAACGTGGCACCGATCTCATCTTCACCGTCGATCAGTGGTTCTCTGACTTGGTCCAGTGGCCGCACACCAGCTAGTGAAGAAAACCACAGACTCCAACTGCACTGTGTACGCTCTGGTGTCCTCATTTCCAAAAAAAAAAAAAAAAAAATCTACAAGATAGAATTTAAGAAATCTCATTTGAGTTGCCCTGCTAATATTTGCAGCTCGCTGGTGGGTGCCGTGGAGGCCAGTACTCACCGTCAGGCTGTGGCAGGTACAGTGAAAGGAAAAACTCCATGAGAGAACGGTGGAAAGTTCACCTGAGAGTGAAACGCATGCCAGTTAGAGTGGCTGAAAAATAGCATGGACAACACCAAGTGCCACGGGACGTGCAGCCGTGGGACCCCTCACTGCTAGGGAAGGCAAGATGGCGCGGCCACTTAGGAAGACAGCTTGGCGGCCTCCTACAACACTAAACATACTCTTAGGTACAACCCAGCAATCCAGTTACTGCATTACGCTCCTGGATATTTCACCCAGTTATGCCGAATGCTTATATCCACACAAGAATCTGCCCAAAGATGTTGATACCAGCTTTATCCATAGTTGCCAAAAACTAGAGGCAACCAAGGGGTCCTTCGATAGGTCAGTGGGTAAACACACTGGTAATGTGGACAGTAGGATGTTCAGCATTTAAAAAAAAAACAACTATCAACCCCTCAGAAGACCTGGAGGAAACTGAGATGCCTGCAGCCCAGGGACGGCTGGTGGCTTGCAGCAGGTCACACGGCTACTCAGGCGTAGAGCCTGGCCTGTCTGAAGCTCAAGGCCCAGCACCCGTTCCTTTCCTTACACATAGAGTTTCACTAGGCACGCACACGCAGACTCTGGATTGATGAAGAAACAGTTTGGGAATTTTTAACAGCATCGTTCACATTTTTAATGCCTGCCTCCTGCCTGGCACTGTGCTCAGCACTTTCATGTATCTTCTTTAATTGTCACATCTGTGAGGTGGGACAGATGACCTCAGCTCTGTAAACTCAGCCATTGCTGAGCCTGCAGTGTGAGTGTGAGGCCACATGTCAGAGCCCCGGAAGACACAAGCCCCACTCTCCTGCCTTCAACACAGCCCCCCACACCGCCGCTGTGGCTGGAATTGGAGCAGGTCGTTAGCTCCTGCCTGAGGAAGCCCAAATAAAGGACTGCAGAACAACTGTAGTGCAAAGCTGAGACTCATTGCCCTCCTAGGCGTTTCATGAGCAGGTCCTGAGTTCTCTGTGTCCCGGCGTGGAGTGCAGGAGGCGTGGAAAGGGAGTAGTGCGTGTGTGAGTTAGTATACAGAAGAAGTGTGTGGCAGGCTCTACCACACGTTTTTAAAATATGTAAACTCCTAAACTTCTTGTCAGAGAAGCGCTTGGCATGCACACAAAATCATTTAGCTAATTCTTGAGAAACATATTGTTTAATTGTCTGTCTCCCTTGCTAGATCATACCACTAATGAGTGCTCGTTCACTAACCTCCCCGCCAGCCTTGCAGTCTCTGTCAGGCAGGAGGTACTTAAAGCATGTTTATTGACTGGCTGCAGAAATGAGGACATCTACCGTATTCAAAGATAGTGCCCGTTACATTGAGAAAAGACAGAGTGAGCATCCACTTTTAGCTTCTTAAAAGGTTTAAACATTCTGATCTTATTTTCCCATTCATTTGCCTAATGGCTGTCCTTTCTGTATTGCACAAGGGCAAAGATAAACACAAGAGTCTGTACGAATCAGCCAGTGTGTCAGTACCAGCCAGCCTTTCCATGTTGAAGCCGTAACGTTAAGTGATGTGAAAGTATACTGTGCATTGCCACACGGGCCTGGAACATGTTGTGTTCACCCAGTTCATTGATTTTTTCATATTGATAAATTAAAATTATGAACATATAAAGCCAGTTATTTTAGAGTCATATGCAAATCTTACAGATACAAATAAATATGTCCAACACATAGCATAAAATTTCCTTATTGATTTTAAATTGACAGAAATCTTAAGATAATCTTGCTAAAAAGGAAACCAGTCATATAGATTGAGAGATGTGCGGAGCTTTCCAATAAAAAGCCTCTTCCCGATGTTCTATCGGTTGTTGAATTGTAATGTTTTTATGATTTGATCGGCTTGAACTGTACCTCACGCTTGGCTCTCTTATTGCCTAATTACACGTGCAGCGTTGACAAATGGCATGCCCCTCCGTGCCGTCAGCACACTGACCTTGTCACCATTACTAACGGCTGGCTGGCGCTGCTTCCAGCAAGGTGAGCAGCTGTGGCCAGTGGCTATGCGTTTGGGTCATGGATTCCACCATGCCTTGCATGTGTGTTTGGTCACATGTTCTGCCGTGTCTTGCAGAGCTGCAGAAACTGGAGGGCAGCAGTGGACCTGTGCGGACGTCTCCTCACAGCCCACGGCCAGGGCTACGGCAAGAGCGGGCTGCTCACCAGCCACACGACAGATTCACTGCAGGTGAGAACACCTTTCAGGTGCTGGAGTTTAACCTGGCTTATCACAGTCTGGGGACATGGACAGGACCATGGCCTTTCATGCCAATAACAAAAAGTATGTTTTCATATCCTGCTTCTTTCTCTCCTAATTATATTGTATATACTATACTGGGGCACTGGAATTCTCACTTCGGCCCGTCAGGACGCCTGTGCGCCCCAGAAGCACGCTCACAAGTGCCCACACTCAGTCTCATGGTGGAACCGGCATGGCTTTGGGTCAGCAGGTGGGTTCGCCTCACGACTGGCAGTAGCAACTGGCCTGTGCGGGGCTCTGGGGCGTGTCTGGGCCCGGTAGGAAACAGTGACAGGAGCAGTTGGTTCTGTCCACCCCAAGGACGGAGGGTCCATGTGCCATTTGCTCCTCGTGGTATATCACTTGCTCTGAAATTTAAAAAAAAAGAAAAAAGAAAAGGGAATGCACAAAATAGACTTGTGAACAAAAGGAAACTCATCTGAGAAGAAGGAACAGCTGCAAACGTTGATACATTCTTACCTTTCCCTGGGGAGTTTTTTAACTGTTCTTCTAGCTTACATGGGAATCCCCCGGGACTAAACAGATCACCAGATCCTTCAGAACTGTGATGAGCTTTTGAAAGGAGCAGCTCTGGGGAGCCCTGACAGCTTAGCTATTTCCAGCAGGCTCCTTCTCCTTCTTTCTCTTCCCCCAAGAGCCGACAAGAAGAGCCGCTCTAGCTTTAAATGTACTTTCCCCCATCACCTCTCCATCCATTGGTTTGCCAAATCTTAGGCTGTTTTCCTATCATTTCTCTCCAACCCACCACCACCCACAGTTCGAGCTCTCATTGCAGTGTTGCTTTGGCCTCTTTTATGAACTTAGTTCAAGTTTCTTTATTCACATTCATTCCATAAACTACCTCCAAAAAAGCACACTTTTGATCATCTCACTTTCCTGCTGGAAAACTGTGCCCGGCGCAGTGGCGCATTGACTGTAGTCCCAGCTACTGGGGAGACTGAGGCAGGAAGATCACTTGGGCCTGGGGCTTCTGGGCCGTAGTGCACTTTGTTGATCAGGTGTTGGCACTAGCTCAACACCAATATGGTGACCTCCCTAGAGCCAGGAACCACCAGGCTGCCTAAAGAGGGTGAACCACCCTCCTTTCCAACTAGGTCTGAAACGGAGCTAGTCAAGAGCTGGATAGTTTCCCATTGGCTACCATGTGAAATTTCATCTTCTCGTGTTGTATGCAAACCCTCAGACCATGACAGGCTATGTGTACACTATGGAATGGTTAAATCAAGCTAAATCGCATGCATTGCCTCGCATGCCTTTGTGTGTGTGTGTGTGTGTGTGTGTGTGTGTGTGTAATGAGAACACTGAAAATCTGTCTTAGCAATTTTTAGTATACATTGTAACTGTGTCACCACGTCTACAATAGATCTCTTGAGCTTATTCCTTGCGTCACTGGATTTTGTTTCCTTTGACTAACATCTCTCAAACCTCCCCTGCCCGGCCCTCCTCCCCACCCCCAGCCCCGGCACCCGCCATCTACTCTGCTTCTGTGAGTTCAGTGTTTTCAGATTCCATGTGTAAGTGAGGTCACACGGTGTTTGTCTTTCTGTGCCTGGCTTGTTTGTCTAACGTCATGTCCCCTAGGCTCATCCACAGCACAAACGACGGGATTTCCTCCATGAAAGCTGAGTGGTATTCCACTGTGCGTCATGCCACGTTCCTTTATCCGTTCATCCTTCAGCGGACACTTAGTGAAATTCATTCTTCTCATCAGTAAAGTCAGATCCAATTAGGTCATTTCTAAGGTACCCTTTTAATCCTAAGTCTCTGGCTCTGCAGCTGTCTAATGCAAATTCCCACCATTTTCCTGAATGTACCCCTGAGAGCACACTGTGCTCTCTCGTATGTTGTGTTTTGTCCACTCTGTACCTTTGTCCTTATGTTCCCTGAACCAGCAGACCCTTCCTTAGCCTGTGGCCCCTTGAAATTCTGCAGCCCTGAGAGCTGCCCTCAAACACAACCCATCCCTGCGCTTCCTCTCCTTCCTGCTCCCGTTCCCGCCGTCATTCCCCCGCCCTCCACTAGGTGGCGCATTCCTTTGGTGCCTTTTCATTTTCATGACACCTAGCACAGTGCTTTGCACACAGACCTGCTCAGTAAGCACTGTTTACTTATTGAGTAAACAATTATGTAAAATCATTCACATTGTTATTAAGCTCAATAGTAATTTCTTCTTAGAGACAGGGTCTCGCTATGTTGCCCAGGCTGGACTCAGACTCCTGGGCTCAAGCAATCTTCCCACCTCAGCCTCCTGAGTAGCTGGAACTGCAGGCATGAGGCATCATGCCCAGCTTCAAGAGTAATTTTTTAAATACGATTGTGTAAATATGCAAAGATAGAAAGTTAGGTTAGCCCTTATTTTAATATATGAGAAATTAACCTCTAACACCAACTCATAAGGAATAGCAAATTCTGAACTGGATATATGTAGATAACCTATTGTTTCCATTGTATTTTGTTTTTAGCTCTGGTTTGTCAGGCTGGCACTACTAGTGAAGTTGGGCCTTTTCCAGAATGCTGAGATGGAATTTGAACCCTTCGGAAATCTTGATCAGCCAGATCTTTATTACGAGTACTACCCGCACGTGTACCCTGGGCGCAGGGGTAAGGCCATGGTATTTAATATTTGTACATTTGTCTGTGTGTCGCTCTGGTTTGCTTTGATTTATACATAATTTCGTAGCCTCAGTTTTCCTTATTTATCCAGTCTTGAAAAATCAGATAAGTACCCAGCAACAAGCCTTGACTTACAGAATGCTCCCACTCCGATTTACCGAAACACTGACCTGGAGGTGCTCCCTGGTGCATCTGTTTGTACATTTAGCAGCTACGTGTCAAGCACCTGCTCTGTCAGGGCAGCATGATTTGGTGCAGGGGCCGGGTAGTAGACGTCTGAGCTGCGCTCCACAGGGAAGAGCCGTCCCATATCGGGACCTGGCGCACAGAGATGCAGAGCGGTGGAACCAAACGTGTCCGTGCATATGGCACACGCCGTGACATTTTCCGTTTGTCTCTATTCTGATTTAATTTATTTTAAAAATCTGGTTGTGGTTCACCCTTTGGGTCACGGTCACGACCATTGTTTGGAAAACACTAGGCTACAGCATAGGGTAGTTCTAGGAGAGTGACAAGAAACCACCAGTTGGGAAGGGAGAAGGGCGGGTTACGGAGAGCCTTCTGCAGCACTGGGAGCCTTGTGCAGTGTGCGTCTCTTGGTGGAGAACCTCATAAATATGTTTGAAGCCTCTCATGTGTTCTTAAATAGAAAACAGTCCTGGCAGGATGTCTTGTGAGGGCAGTGTAAGCAGCTATTGAAAGCCCACGCCCTGTTGTCAGGCATCCCCAGTTACATCCTGCTTCCCCCATTGAATCGCGTAGCCTTGGAGGAGTTATCTGACATCTCTGTGCCCCAGTGTCCTTATTGGTAAAACAGAGATGCCAATCCTCCTTGCTGCCTGGGTTGTCCTAAAGATCAAATGATGTCACGTGTAAGTTGCTTGGAATAATGGCTGCTATCTAGTACCAACTGTATTTGCTGGTTTTCTTACTCTCTTCCGAATGTATCAGTAACATGGGAAAGTCTCGCACTGCCGCATTTTGCAGGCTCGATTGTCAGCATTTGTTGGCTGCAGCAGTGGAGCTACAGAGAATGGTCCTAGTTGTCAGGAAATGCAGAGCCTGATTGGAGGTAGAAAATATTTAAAACCAGTGGTACAAGAGATGCAAAGGCCTGATTAATAATAAAATAATAATTCCTATAGAAGTCTCAGAAAATTTAAATAAACATTCTGTTGAACTTGGTTGATACTAGTAGGTAAATAGATGAACTAAAAAGGCTAGAAGTAAAAACAAATCTTTGAACTTCTTTGTGTGTTGTTTTTTTGGTTAAAACTCAGCTCTGTTTCTTTGGAGGGGCATAGGAACGAATGTAGACGCCGGCTTTCTTTATTCCCCATGCTCTCTCCTTTATCATCTTTACCTTCCTCCAAGTAGGACGGGTGGGAATTGGTCCATATTACTCTGAGTTATCCCAGAATTGATGGAGATTTTTATCATTTTTAGTATAAAGTGTTTTTTGACCTTTAGTCTCACTGGTATTAAAATTGTTTCTTCCTTCTGACTAAGGGAATTTGCCCCTTGTGGAAAAGAAAAAATGGGAAGGGTAACTTTTAATAACTAAAATAGGGCATAAATCAAAGAGATTGTCTTGATGGAGCTGGCTTGATTTCATGGAAGTGAACCAACCAAGCTAGGTAGCCACAGAGTCAAGAAGGACCAGCAACACCACTATCACTCTCGGACGTAGGACTCTGTGTCATCCAGGGACGTAGACGCCAGTCCTTAATGTGTGACACTTCCTGCCCACCCACTGGCCTGTCCAGTCCTGCTGGCCTTCCACATGACCAGGAGGAACAGACCAAAGCCAGGACCGCTTGAGGGTGCGTGTTCAGGAGCTCTGTCTGCCGTGGCCTGGCCAACAGGTGGAGGAAGTGGGGCCAGAGGAGTCTCGGGAACTTGCTGAAGGGCCCTCACTGGTGTTGCTGGCCAAGCAGGCCTTCTGTCCCCAGGAGTCTGGCTTTTGCAGCCATGGGTTGGATAAAGATGTCTTTACCTCTTCCCTGGGGTATTTCTTCTCCTGCACTCCAGCCTGGAAGCTGCTCGGTGGTCGTGAGCACTGTCCTCGAGGAGCAGGGCTTTATCCATCCTCTCTCCCCCGGAGCAAGTCTCGTCTACGTCCCTCCCAAAGTTCCGTCCAGTCCGCACGTAGGTGGTTCCCACATCCGCTCATGAGTTGGAGAGATACAGCCATGGCTGGTTGTTCAAGGGCTACTGTTCTACCTTGTAAATTAACTGGGCTCCCTGATTCTGTCGTGTCCCTTTCTTGTCTCCACTTCATCGCCAATTTGAGGGTCATCCTTTCCGTGTAAGACCGAATTTCCAGCCCAAAAAGAATGGGGAGCCTGTCACTTGGTAGGTTGTGAAGAAAAGATGGAAAGGTTAAAGGCATTGTTAATTGGGGAAGTTTGAGGGTGTTTCTGTTTAATCAGTTATGCCTGGTAGCTATCATAGTCAAGAAACAGCTGTTTTCCTATTTCTTACACGGATCAGCCTTGTTTTCCCCCATCCCAGCATAAATAAAACCATCTCTTCCCTCTGCCTGACTGCAGCCTGAGCATCGCCTCCAACCCCGCCCTCCCACGTGGTTCATAGTCCCGGGAGGGGGCTGGACCCAGGTCTGTGGGACTCTGCCTGGGCCGGGGACTGGAACTGGGACTGAACAGCTGGTTTTTTAGGCATTTTGTCTGCTGCTAACAGAAAACTCAGGGCATTGAGCACCCAGGCCTTAATCGAAACCACCAGATACCCTGAAGCGCAGAGCTGCACCAAGTGCTCTGGTTTCTTTTCCTACTGAGGTCCGTGTGAATTATAGATTCAAAATGACTCCTCTTACAACACCTGCTTCTGAATTTATGACAGGTGTTTAAGAATGAGTGTGACTGAAAGGCAGATGTTTCCTATCATGACCAGGTAAAAATATCCAGCTTGGCTGGGTACAGTGGCTAATGCCTGTAATCCCAGCACTTTGGGAGGCCGTGAAGATCTCAAGATCTCTTGAGGCCAGAAGTTCGAGACCAGCCTGGCCAACATGGCAAAACCCCCATCTCTACTAAAAATACAAAAAATTAGCCGGACATGGTGGTGCACACCAGTACTACCAGCTACTCAGGAGGCTGAGGCACGAGAATCTCTTCAACCCAGGAGGTGGAGGTTGTAGTGAGCCAAGATCATACCACTGCACTCCAGCCTGAGCGACAGAGTGAGACTCTGTCCTACAAAAAAAAAAAAACTCCAGCTCCCATTGGTCTCTAACCTTTACCTTTGGCCATTCAGGAATGCCCAACATCGCCTTGTGTATCCTATTTTACAGTGTGCTGAAGACTCCGTGGCACTGTTTACCCATCTCTAAGGAGAGGATTTTGATGGAAATGACACTGAGTGCCCTTTAAGATAGCGAATGAAAATCTGTGGGTTTAGGTGGAAACTGCCTGTCATCTTTCCTCACTTTGAGGACATTTTTTCCTAAGGACGTTCAGTCAAGCCTAGAAAACATGCTTTGATTCTTCCTGAAATTAAATTGCATTGGTAAATGGATAAAGAGAAGACAGCAGCTACGCATCATTGAGAAGCTAATTTAAATTATGAAATAGACATAAATCATACATACATTTTAGCAAAAGCGTATTAACATTCATCCTCAATAATATGCTGGATGTTTACTAATTTTTCTTCCCATTTTGTGGTGTAACAAAGCATAAATGTAAGATTTTGATTCATTCACTTCATTTTCGCTTGCAATATATAAGCAGAGCAAGTTGTTAAAATGTGCTTTAAAAGGAGGCTATAATTATAAAAACTTTTATGAATGAGCTTTAATATATTTCATGTAAATATTGGGCGTAATTTTTGCCCATTCAGAATATTCATAACAAGACATGTAATGAATCATGTGTAAAAATCATGAAGGTTTTTTAAAAAAAATTCATCCAAGAAAGGAACAGTATTATGGTTGATGTATTTACATGTCAAATCTAGCAATTTCAGTCAGTTCCTTTCAGCCACCCCCAAAGCCCAGCCCCGTTTCTGACCCTGGCGCTGTGTCTTTCACTTGGTTGTTTGGAGACTCCCTCCTGCACACAGGAAGAATCCCGAGGACTACGGGCCTGGGGCCGACCCAGCCCCGCGCCCCCGGAGCTGAGGTCTGTGCGGTTCTGGGTGGGGCCCCCAAAGCCACAAGAAGCCCAGGTAGCACTGACTCTGACCTGGGTGTCCTCTCTTGATTTTCCTTTCTTGCTCCTCAATCTCCACCCCCTTTTCCTCTGTTCCTCTTCTACTGCATTCGTTGCTTCTTCCCCTCTCAGACCCTACATCCATCCCTAGAACCCAGGGCCCAGCTTCATCCATCCCCAGCACCCAGGCTGCAAGCGGGAGAGGTGGAAGCTGCTTGCATCAAGCCTTTTATCAGAGTTCCTTTCGTGGGTTGTGGGGTAGTCATTGAAAGCTCACATTTGTGTTTAGAAGCCAACTGGCTGGGGGTTGTGAGCAGATTGTCCACATCTTTTCATTCACTGGAAGTCCTCTGTGTCCCTGCAGGACACACTTAAAGACTGTGTGGCTTTAGCTCCCTCAGACTTCACACATAACTTGGCAACTGAGCTGTTCTGTCTAGAATTGTCATGCAGCTTCAGGAATTCAGAGGATCGGCGTTGGTCATACTGGTGGAAGATGTCAAAACAAGAAGAATAAAAATAGTGTGCAGAAAACTTGCTCTTAGCCACTGTCTTATCTCTGAAAATTGAACTTCACTTGCATAGTGATACCCTGTATCATGCATCTCCAGGGACAGAAAAAAAGATAAGTATATCTTAAATTTGCCTTTCCTATTCGCGTTTCTCTGATTTTGAAACAGAAGTTCCCTATCCGTGAATTCTTCAGATAGTTGAGGTAGAGTACTCTTGCATTGCACAGGATGTCACTGTTGTTTCCAGATGGATTTGTGCAAATTCAGATATTTGATTTTTCTATGTTGCCCACGTCTATTTACTGTTTACTTTTACTTTACTTTTTTTTCTGTTCTAATAGCTTTTTAATAAAAGCTATTTACTTTTGTTCTAACCCACTACTTCCGTACCTTATGAGAAAGTCTGTTTTGGGATCTGGTTGAATCTATTCTTTGCTCAACAAAAATTGATGTTTATTTAAATACAAATATTAAATACTCGGACCATTAACAAATATTTTTTCATATTTGCCTTAGACATTTTTGTAACAAATGAAAGTACCCATTGCTGATACAGCCTGTGAACCTCCTCCCAATTCAGTCCCCTCCCAGAGGCAGTCACAATCATGGTTTGTTGTGTATTCTTCCAGGTCATGTTTTTACATATTTGCTTCATACACACACATATACATACACACAGAGAAATACATATACAGAGAGAGACTATTGTCTTATAAGCTTTGTAAATGTACATCATGAGCATATCTGTCTTCATTTGCTTTTTTTTCCCCACTTTCCATTATTCATATCCATCCATATCCGTATCCATAAGGATGAACAATTAGGATCTTTCCACCTTTCGGCTATTATGAGCAATGGTGTTATGGGCATCCTTGTACATTTCCCTTTGTACATGTTCAGGCGTTTCTCTGAGCTGTAAATTTAAAGTGGCATATGTGAGAGTGACCATGCTAATTTCCACTCCCAGCCACAGCCTGTCAGTTTGTTTCCCCACTCTTGTGTAACTAAAGATTGTCAGACTTTCACCAGTGAGTCTAAAATTCTACCTCCTGTCGCAACTGACGTCTTTCTGATTTCTGCCGAATTATGTGTCCTTTGTCTGTCGGAGTCTCCTCTTTGGTGACTCACTCTTTCATAATCTTGGCCTGTATTTCTGTTGGGTTATCTTTGTTATTAATTGGTTGAGGTTCATTCTATATAGTAGGTATTTAATCCTTCATCTGTTTTGTATTTGGGAAATATTAATATCTTCTCCCATTCTGGGAAATACTATTTTCAACCCTGAAAAAATAATTCTAGTTTAAAAATACAAACATAACCTTTTTTGTTCGCAACATGACATGTTTTAGGAGTATCTTCTTTATTCCACATACTGTTATATCAGGAATAATAAATGCAAAGAAATCATGCCTATGTCATTGCCAAGTAGGCTGAGACAAGTAAAGACATTTACCAGACAGCTTTCCAAAACGTTTCCTAAGGGAGCTGCTGCACACTGTTGCTGGGACCTTCCGCTGGGTGTGGGAGGAGCTCTGCACACTGTTGCTGGGACCGTCCACTGGGTGTGGAGGAGCTCTGCACACTGTTGTTGGGACCATCCACTGGGTGTGAAGGAGCTCTGCACGCTGTTGCTGGGACCGTCCGCTGGGTGTGGAGGAGCTCTGGGAGATGCGGTGTTGGGAAGAGAGTCTACACAGTTGCTGACTTGCAGCTCTTCACCTGGAGCTTCCAAGAGCTCTGAGGCAGGCCCGCAGAGCCCCTCGTGCACACTTGTCAAAGATGCTCTCTCTCCTGGCATACCCTTGAGGCCCTAGGCCACCTGCTGCCCTCGCCGTCTTCCATCGAGTACAGTGGGATGCACTTAACGTGAGTGCTCCCGGGATCTCATCCCACAGAGTCTTTGGCCCTGTAGACAGACAGTCTCTGTAATCTTGTAATCTCCCCACAGCACAGCCGTCTGCCTTCACTGGCACCTCAGCATCTGCAGGGAGCATCCCGGTCCCAGGAAACATCATCCAGCCCAGAGGGCGGCAGGGTCGCCGTCGCCATGGATGCCAGCCTTTACCCAGCACTAAAAGTATTTTTGTTTTTGTTTGTCTTAAATGTTGATAACTTCATAATAACTATTTACGTTAGGGCTTTAAAATACCTTTCCAAAATCCTACAAAGTTTCTCTTTTGAGAGCCATTCTTCAGATCCCTGTACTAGCCTTCTTTCTTTAATTTTCTTTTAGATTTTTTTTTTTATTTTTTAAATTGTTACACTAGTGCAGATTGTTTCTCCCATTATAGGGTTTGCAGTCATGAAAAGTGTTGATAGGGATTATATCCATGAAAATATTTCTAGAACATTCATTCATTTTATATTAACAGCTTGCATTGGTGTGGTACATTTGTTACAATTGATGAACCAGTATTGGTACAGCATTATTAACAAATGTTTATAGTTTACACTTGGGTTCACTCTTGTGTTGTACATATTCACTATGTTAAAGAAAATTAAATGTCCATTCCTGACAAGTTTAATTTCATCCTCTCTCAGGCAGTTAAATTTTTCCAGACCCCCACCACCATCTTTTTAATCTGTTGTTTGGAATTACCCCTCTCGTTCCAAAGAAACATTCACAATGGCAGTGAGCATGTAAACTTTCATAGTGCTTTGAATTTTTAAAGTACCACATTCTGCATTAAATTGCTCACTTCAAGTTTCCATGCAACTAGAGGGAAAATAGGAGCCCAAAAGATCTTCCCGCTGGAAATAAAGCAGCTTGATTATCTTCACTATGCAGTTTAAGAAGTATAGTGCTGCTTCTAATACTAAATTCAGATCTGCATGTTTAGACTAAGTTACAAGAGCTGTAATGACGTCACAGGAAATGGTACTTCAGAACTTAATCCGTGCGGATTACCATCAGGTCAAATTAAAGTGGATGGGGCAAACACTTCCATTAATCGGATGCCGAATCTCTCTACTCTTCCATCAGCTGTCTGCTCCTCTATGTGCATAAAGGCACACTGTCACTGGATCTTTCTTCCTTTTTCATCCTCCCTCCAAAATCATGAAATTCACATTTTGAGTTCTCAAATTAAATTCTGAAACTTTTTTTTATCAACACATAACCATATGTGATATCTCAGAATTAAATATTCAGCATGTTTCCAGTGTCGGATTTTATTTTTCATGACAAAATTACCTCACCTTGCAGAGTGACCACGTTCTGCTTTAGATTTCCAGGTCACAATGCTTTGCATCAGAACTCCCGAGCGTTGATGGTTGGACATGTGATCGCTGCTTTATTTGTTCGGAGAAGGCTCGTTAGTTCATCTTACTGCTTTTCACTTTGCCCACCGTTTTTATGAAATCTGGCATTTTCAGTCTTTTCTTAGAACAAACTACTAAAAATAGGGGAATTTTCAGTTTGGGGTTCCGTATCTACCATGAGAACACCCAAATGGAGACCTCTCCTTATCCTGTCTGCACAAGATACAGGCCTTGGCCAGTCACTGGGCTGTAGCTGAAGCCACACGTGGATTGCACATGACTGTGGCAGACGCGTACAGAGGCAGTGACCCAAGCCTCAGTTTGTCTTCATGCTTCAGGGCTTTAGTTAAGCAAATCATTTAAATAAGAAATATTTAAGGTATTTTTTTCTCTTAGGACTTTCTCACTGTTTTTGTGTTTGGTTTGTTTTGTTTTGTTTTTAATTTACAATGCCACATTAAAGTCAAAAATGACTTGTTGAGAGCTGTAAGTGTGACACTGTGTGCTTGGCCGGGCACAGACACCAAGCAGTATCCCCAGCGTTGAGCACAGGCAAACCAAAGGCATGGCTTATCCTGCCTGCTGAGGTCAGGATAGGGAAGGACACACCCAGACAGGCAGAGACAGTGGGAAATAAATACAAAGCAGTCTTCCCAGCAAAGCACTCGCGTAACTTGAAAATGAGACGGAAATGCCAGGGCAAACTTGTAAGTTTGTGCCTTACTGAAGAAAGCTGTTAAAATTGGGCAAAGGGTCTGGAAGGCTCCCGCAGACCCTTCTGTGAGGCAGGTGGCACAGGCGTCCAGGCATCATGTCACACCTGCTGCGGCCTCACGGCAACCTAGCTGCCTCTGGGCCCTCCCGCCCTAGTTTGCAGTGACACAGAAGGCTGCAGAGAGGATGTGAGCCACCCAGCACAAACAGCTAGTGAGTGGCGGAAGGTAGCATACCCCACTGAAGGGAAGCTGAAATGTCATCTTTGTTCCCTTTCATTTTTCACTGCCCAGCACCAAGGCCCGGGCAATTCCTGGCACATTTCTCTTTTCTATAGTGGCAGCACGGATTTTCAGCACAACAAGGGACGGTCTGAAATAAATTTTGTAGGAGTATTTTCATTTAATGTTTTCTAAATGATGAATGAGAACACTTTTACAGTATTTATACCAACCTAGATTTTGGCAGGTCACAACTATACATGGGAATCTTCCGGAAAAATAGATCCACTAGGAATTGTTTTTCCTTACAGATTTTGACTAGCTTCTCCTTTTTTTTTCCTTTCCAATGCTCTTTCTCCCTGCAGGAGAGAGATGGGCCTCAGGGCTGGTGTGGAAGCCTTGCATATTTTATCTCGCTTGACAACCACCCTCAGCATGGAGGATTTCAGTGAGATTCCCAGGGTAGCTCTTCAGAGACAGGGGCTAGGTTTGGCCACTGAGAGAATCAGCTTAAAGGTATTTTTATGTGCATTTACTTAAGAACAAAAGTATGAATTACACCAAAGCAGCTTCTGTATGCATCTTGTTGAAGAGGGGAGTAGTTTCCTTGAGGACACGGACCTCGTGGCTGTCATTGTGTGCACCCAGTGCAGGCCCTCCTGCGCAGCGCTAGGAGCTGCTGAGTAAATGTCAGCTCAGTGAAATTCACACACCTTACCTGGAGCTCACAGATGGTTTCTCCAGCTGCTTCCATTTATTGTTTTAATTCTGTGATCTATATATTTTTTCTAGGAAGGGGTGTTTTTCTTTCTGATTTAATTCCCTACATTTTTCTCTTTCATATGAAGTTGCAGATAATGTTTTTCCTTCGGATTTTTATTCTTTAAGATTTTTAACCTGTGCAAGACTTTTTCAATGATACAAGTCAAGGAGGATGAAGATCTTTTTCCACTTCAGTCTTCACTTTGCTCCAGCTATTGCTAAGAAAGGCACAAACAATGACAGCATATTTAAGGAAGAACCTGGCCGGCTTGGGTCACCGCTGCTGTCTTTCTTGGTTTTGCGTCTACCTGGGAGAGCCCAGCTTTTAGGTTCCCATTGAGGGAAGCATGAGAGAGGATTGTTTGGGGGATGCTGCCAGAGCTTCCAGCTGACAGTCTCTGCAGAGCGGCTGCCAAGTGGCCTGGTGGCCGTATGTTGGCAGTTTTTGATGAATTGGGATTAGGGAATGTTTGTTTACTTGATAACCGAGTGTCTACAAGGAGAGGTGGCAGCGTGAGGGAATAGTGCCACCATAATGAGGACACAGCCAGCCATCTCTTCCCTGCCACAGAACCCCAGGCAGTCCCCTTCAGGCTACAGTTTTCCATCTGGACCGAGGGACTGGCCGGTGCAGCAGGAGGAGCCGATCACCCTCTGTGGGAACGAGGATGCCCAGAAGTTCCAGTTACTGTGGTTTGTATGTTCTTCTTTTTGAGATGGAGTCTCGCTCCGTCGCCCAGGCTAGAGTGCAGTGGTGCGATCTCGGCTCACTGCAATGTCCACCTCCTACATTCAAGCAGTTCTCCTGCCTCAGCCTCCCGAGTAGCTGAGATTATAGGCGCATGCCACCACGCCCAGCTAATATTTGTATTTTTAGTAGAGACGGGGTTTTCGCCATGTTGGCCAGGCTGGTCTCTAACTTCCAGCCTCAAGTGATCTGCCCGCCTCAGCCTCCCAAAGTGCTGGGATTACAGGCGTGAGCCACCGCGCCCAGCTGAGTTACTGTTAACTGTTACTGGGGGGGCAGGGGAATGGCTCATTAACATTTTTTTAAATAACATTAACATTTTTAAAATGTTAAAATTTAATTCTGAAAGAATTTTGCTACATTAGCGCTAGTTTTAATTGTGATTTTATTCAATATGTCCCCCAAATGTAAGGAAGAAATTGGTACATTTTGTTCACAAAAATACCCTCCCCACCTCCCAAAAGCAGTAGAAATGGGAGTGCCATAGCACGGGGGAGATTTGAAAAGAGCCCGGAAGTTGGGTTTGTTGGAGGAGGAGGATCTGAGCACAGCTCAGCTCCACCTGCTCCAGCAGCGCAGAGTCCACGAGTACAAGCAGGTGTTTGGTCCCCAAGGCCTCACAGAAGTTCAGGCAGAATTTCATCACTTTCTTTTCCCTTAACCCCCATTTAGGTTTTAAACGCCTGTGTGGTTTTTAAAAGGGTAGAAGTAGCAAGGAAACAATATATATCTAATGAGGGACATTTTCCTGTGTGATATGTAATGAATGCACTATATGTAGTACTAATTACCTGTTATAATGAAGGCACTGTATAGTACCGATTACCTGTTTTAATTTGATCCTAAGGAAGGTCAATGTGCATTTTGAGGCATTATAAAAATATAGTTGATATTACCTGATAACCTTTGAGTTAGCGAATTTTAATTTCACATCAGTAAGGTACTGTTTTAGAGCAGTGCTTCTCCATCTCAGCATGCACAGGAGTCACCCAGCCTCTTGTGGAGGGCAGGCCCTGATGCAGCAGGTCTGGGCAGGGCCTGAGACTCTGAAGTTCTAACAAGGGCACAGGTGATAAGACTGCAGCTGGTCAGAATGTACCTTTAATCAAGTATTAATATTACTCTTTCAGCTACAGCTGGCCACTATATTTAATAGTATTTCTGAGAAAAAAAATACATATTTTAAGTCTCAATTTGAGATCCCAAGAACACAGTCCTTCACCCCAAAGAAATGGATCTGATTTTATCTTTTTTCATGTGGCAATCCCCATATCTGAACCATGCTCATTAAAAACTCCATTTTCCATCTAATACCTTGGAGACACCATCTTTATTGTATACTAAAGTATATATGTATTCCCTTTTTGTAATTTACAGAAAAATCGAGTAGAGAGTTCTATATACCCTCTTTTCTTCTGCACAGTTTTTAATAACATCTTGCATTTTTATTATTAATAAGTATAAAAATTTTGCATTAGCGTAGAACTTTTATTATAATTGATAAACCAATAGCGGTACATTGTTGTTAAAGTACATAGTTTACCTTAGGGCTCACTCTTGGTGTTGTCCCTTCTGTGGGTTTCAACAAATTAATGGCGTTGCGTGTTCATTGTACTGTCATGCCGAATAGTTTCACTGCCCTGTGTATTAATCCCCCCACCACCCCTGGATTAATACCCCCATCACCCCTGGATTAATCTCCCCACTACCCCTGGATTAATACCCCATCACCCCTGAATTAATCCCCCCATCACCCCTGGATTAATACCCAATCACCCCAGGATTAATACCCCATCACCCCTGGATTAATCTCCCCACCACCCCTGGATTAATCCCCCATCAGCCCTGGAATAATCCCCCCACCACCAGGATTAATACCCCATCACCCCTGAATTAATCCCCCCACCACCCCTGGATTAATCCCCCAATCACCCCTGGATTAATCCCCCCATCACCCCTGGATTAATGCCCCATCACCCCTGGATTAATCCCCCAATCACCCCTGGATTAATCCCCCCATCACCCCTGGATTAATACCCCATCACCCCTGAATTAATCCCCCCACCACCCCTGGATAAATCCCCAATCAACCCTGGCTAATCCCCCCTCACCCCTGGATTAATACCCCATCACCCCTGAATTAATCCCCCCACCACCCCTGGATTAATCCCCCAATCACCCCTGGATTAATCCCCCCATCACCCCTGGATTAATACCCCATCACCCCTGGATTAATACCCCATCACCCCTGGATTAATCCCCCCACCACCCCTGGATTAATCCCCCAATCACCCCTGGATTAATCCCCCCATCACCCCAGGATTAATACCCCATCACCCCAGGATTAATCCCCCAATCACCCCTGGATTAATCCCCCAATCACCCCTGGATTAATACCCCATCACCCCTGGATTAATCCCCCCATCACCCCTGGATTAATCCCCCAATCACCCCTGGATTAATCCCCCCATCACCCCTGGATTAATACCCCATCACCCCTGGATTAATCCCCCAATCACCCCTGGATTAATCCCCCATCACCCCTGGATTAATACCCCATCACCCCTGGATTATACCCCATCACCCCTGGATTAATCCCCCATCACCCCTGGATTAATACCCCATCACCCCTGGATTAATCCCCCCACCACCCCTGGATTAATCCCCCAATCACCCCTGGATTAATCCCCCCATCACCCCTGGATTAATACCCCATCACCCCAGGATTAATACCCCATCACCCCTGGATTAATCCCCCCATCACCCCTGGATTAATCCCCCATCACCCCTGGATTAATCCCCCCATCACCCCAGGATTAATACCCCATCACCCCAGGATTAATACCCCATCCCCCTTGGATTAACCCCCCCACCACCCCTGGATCAATCCCCCCAATCCCCCTGGGTTAATCCCCACCACCCGTGGATTGATCCCCCCTCACCCCTGGATTAATCCCCCCATCCCCCTGGGTTAATCCCCCATCACCCCTGGGAGCTTGGAGTCTTTCCATTGTCTCCATAGTTTCCCCTTTTCCAAAGGTCTTATAGTTGGAATCATACAGTATGTGGTCCTCAGATTGGCTTCGTTCACTTAGGAATGTGCATTTAGGGTTCCGCTGTCTTTTTCTGCTTGATAGTACGTTTCTTATCTCTGAATAATATTCCATTTTATGTATATACCATAGCTTATTTATCCATTTCTCTGTTGAAGAACATCTTGGTTGCTTCTGGTTTTTGACAATTATGAATAAAGCTACTATAAACATTCTTTTTCAGGGTTTTGTGTAGATACAAGTTTTATCACCTTTATCAGTTCCAATCCTTGGGTAAATCTCTAGGACTGTGATTGCTGGATCTTATGGTAAAAGTATTCTTAGCCTTGTAAATATCTGCCAAGCATCTTCCAAAACTTTCATACTATTTTGCTTTCCTAAGAGCAATCAATGAGAGTTCCTATTGATTCACATCCTCAGCCAGCTTTTGGTATTGTCATTTTTTGGATTTTTCGCTATTCTGATAGGTGTGTAGTGTTACCTCATTGTTTTAATTTGCAGTTCCCTAATGACATATGATGATGAGCATCTTTTTATATGCTTGTTATTGATAAATCTTTATTGGTGATATGTCTGTTCAGATCTGTTGCCCATTTATTAATTGGGTTGTTTTCTCATTGTCTGTTTTTTGGAGACAGAGTCTCACTTTGTCACCCAGGCTGGAGTCCAGTGGTGCAGTTATGGCCCACTGCAGCCTCAAGCCCCTGGGCTTAAGCAGCCTTCCCACCTCAACCAATGGAGTAGCTAGGACTGTAGGCACACCTGGCTAGTTTTTGTATTTTTTGTAGAAACAAAAAAAAGCGATCAGCTCGCCTCAGCCTCCCCGCGTGCTGGGATCCCAGGCATCAGCCACCATACCTGGCCTGTTGTTGATTTTTAAGAATTCTTCATATATGTTGAATACAAGTTCTTTATCAGATAGGTGTTTTACAGCTATTTTCTTCCTATCTGTGACTTGTCTCTTCATTACTTTAATACTACGTTGGACAGAGCATACGTGTTTAATTTTAATGAAGTCCAACTTACTGATTTTTTTCTTTCATGGATGGTGTTTTTGGTGTTGTATCTAAAAGATTATCAGCAAACCCAGGTCACTCAGATTTTCATCTGTGTTCTGTTCTAGAAGTTGTATAGTTTTTGCACTTTACATGTAGTCTGTTATTGGAGTTCATTTTGGGGTAAGATGTAAGATCTGTGTCTAGATTCATTTTTTTTTTTTCATGTGGACGTCCAGTTGTCCCAGCACCATTTTTGGAAAAACCTGTCCTTTCTCCATTGAATTACCTTTATTCCTTTGTCAGAGATCAAACTGACTATATTTGTGAGGACCAATTTCTTGTCTTTCTGCTCTGGGCCACTGATCTATTTGTCCGTTCTTTTTCTAGGACCACACAGTCACCCAGTCTTTTTTACAGTAGCTTTAGAGTAGCTCTGTAAGGTGGGTAGTGTCAGCCTGCCAGATTTGCTCTCTTTGATATTGTGTTGGATGTTCTGGGTGTTTTCCTTCTCCATATTAACTTCAGAATCATTTTGTTGATAACCACAAAATAATTTGCTGAGATTTTGATTGGGGCTGCATCGAATCTGTAGGTCAAGTTGTAAAGAACTGATATTTTAGCAGTATTGTCTTCCTGTCCATGAATGTGGAATATCTCTTGATTTCTTCAGCTCTGTGAATTTTTTCATCAGAGTTTTATAGTTTTCTTCCTATAGCTCTTGTGCATATTTTGTCCATTTTATACGTGGGTATTTCACTTATTTATGTAGAAATGATAGTGTGTTTTTAATTTCAAATTCCCATCATTTATTGCTAGTATCTAGGAAGCCAGTTGACTTTTGCATATTGATCTTGTATCCTGTGACTTTTAATCACTTCCTAGTTTAGAAGTGTTTTTGTTCTTTGAGATTGTTCTTTATAATTATGTCATTGCAAACAAGTAGTTTTATTTCCTTCTTCCCAGTCTGTGTACCTTTGGTTTTCTTGTCATTGCATTAGCTCGAACTTCCAGTACAATGTTCAGTAGAAGAGATAAGAGGGAACATTGTTGCTTTATTCATGATCTTAGGGGGAAGTCACTGAGTTTCTCACTCTTAAGTTTGTTGTTAGCTGCAGTTGTTTTGTAGATGTCCTTTATTAAGTTGAGGAAGTTTCCCTCTATTCCTAGTTGGCTGAGAGTTTTTATCACGAGCTGGTGCTGGATTTTGTTAAATGCTTTTCTACATCTATTGATATGATTTTTGTTCTTTAGCCTGTTTGATGTGGTAGATTATGTTAATTGATTTTGGAATGTTAGATCACCCCTGCATACCTGGAATAAATTCTGTCTGGTCATGGTTCATAATTCTTTTTATACATTGTTGGATTTGGTTGCTAATTTTTTGTTGACTTCAGTTTTCTTAGATTTAGTTTGCTAATTTTGTTGAAGATTTTTGCATTTATGTTCATGAGACATATTGGTCTACAGTTTTTTTTTCTTGTAACGTCTTTGTCTGGTTTTGGTATTAGGGTAATGCCAGACTCATATAAGAAGTTAGAAAGCGTTCCTCTGCTTCTGTTTTCTGAAAGAGATTGTAGAGAACTGGTAGCATTTCTTCCATAAATGTTAGGTGGAATTCACAGTGAGACCATCTGGGTCTGGGGCTTGCTTTTTGGAAAGGTTTTTCTTTTTCTATCCAAGTTACCAAATGTATGGACATAGAGCTGTTCATAATATTCCTTTACTATTCTTTTACTGTTCATAGGATCCATAGTAATAGTCCTTCACTTCTAGTACTAGTTGTTTATGTCTTCTCTGTTTTTTGACTAGCCTGGGGAGAGACTTATTGGTCTTGTCAGAGTTTTATTGGTCTTGTCAAAGAATATGTTTTTGGTTTGGTTGATTTTGTCTATTGATTTCCTGTTTTCAGTTTCACTGATTTCTGCTCTAATTTTTATTATTATATTTTTATTATTTTCTTATTATAATACAATAATATTTTTATTATTTTCTTATAATAAAATATTTTATTTTCTTATAATAAAATAATATTTTTATTATTTTCTTCTCTACTGCTTACTTTAGGCTTATATTGCTCTTTCTTTCCTTCTAGTTTTCAAAGGTGAAGCTGGTTTCAGATCTTTCTTTTCCAATATATGCATTTAATGCTAAAAAGCTTCCTCTCAGCACTGCTTTTGCTGCATCCCACAAATTTTGATAAGTTGTATTTTTATTTTCACTTAGTTCAAAATATTTTCACATGTGCTTTTACATCCAGAAGCACCCCCATGTCCATGGGCAGTTGTCAGGATAAGGGGCAGCTAACTTTCTGCCACCTTCTCAGGTGAAGTGGCAGGAGTCACACAGCCTGTTTTCTCACCATCCACCAAACTGTATTCCAGATCGGAGTATTAACAGCTAGTCTATAAATTGAGATCGGAGTATTAACAGCTAGTCTGTACGTTGAGATCGGAGTATTAACAGCTAGTCTGTAAACTGAGATCGGAGTATTAACAGCTAGTCCCAAGTTGGGTTTGAGAACTTCCAGTAGAGGTTTGTTTCTGTGCTTATCTTATAGAGCTTGAAGGGTTCTTGAGATATTCTCTCCCTTGTGGTAAGTGATAAACCACACAGGAGTGATTCTGGCCCCTTCTCTACTTGAGACAGAAGGATGGAAGTGACGTGGCTTACATATAACTTACCATGTTGGGCCGGTTCCACAGTGACATGACTTACATATGACTTAATTGTAGGCCAGTCCCCTGTGTCATTATGCGGATGGTCTAGAAATGTTTATTTCTAGAAAACCGAAGTGACTCAGGCTGTAACTTAAGCTCGGCCAGATATTCTCTTGAGATACAGAAATTATTTAGTGGCATCAAAAAAGAAAGTTTAAACATTTTAAGTTCAATAATTGTTACCTTTCTTTTCTCCAGGCTTATAATCACAATAGAACTGTTTTCCATAGTGTTCCTTAATTTTGACTGTCTTCTTTTTGGACCTTTGTTATTAAAGACCATAAACATAAAGCTCATTTCAGTGTGGTCACGGCCCATTCTCAGTAATGGTTAATGAATAGACAGATGGATGCATTGAGGCACAGATACATTAAGTGGCTTGCAGAAGTCATACGCGTGTTTTCTCACCATCTTTCAGACTATATTCCAGATCCGAATATTCATCGCTTAGGCCTATTTTGAAAAGCACTTTACTGAATCTATGTGATTGCCCTCTGGCATTTCTCTATTCTTTATCTCATTTATAATCAGTGCACGCTATTTGATTTTTTGATGATTGTTATCTACTTAGTATACATACTACAGATCAAATTCCAAATCCTATTAGAAGAGAACACAATATTAACAAAAAGTTGACCTTACCCTGAGAGATGATGCAGCCACAGGTGATACGATATAAAGGGGGTTTCTCCTGAGCTTCTTCCTCTTCTTAGCGCACGCAAAGCCAGGCAGCTCTGGGTGATGGATTTTTCAAGTCCAGCTCCCTTGCCTCCTGTCAGAGGTGGAACGCAGGCTCCAGGGCCACATGGAATCCAGTGGGAGGCCCATCCCCAGGGCCGAGGCCTGAGACGCACCTGTGCTCAGTTTCGCCTCCTCCCCACTGGTTTTCCCGGGAGCACTTCCGGAACCACTGGCTGGCTTACGGCTTCTCCCTTCAGGGTCTCCTTCTGGGGAACCCAAGCTAAGCAACCTACCATTCGAGCTTGCTAAACTAAAGAAATATTAAAGAATATCTGAGCATTCTGGTTTTTCTTTTATTGGAGGAGGGGTTGGCGGTCTCTACTGTTTCATTCATTTTGGGATCATTTCTAAATGATTGCAGTGTAGCTTTGGAAATTGTGGTGTCATCCACCTGTCTCCTCTGATAATTGTCGAGACATACATACATAGAGCTCCATAGAGAAAACCAGCATGTATTTTATAGTTGACACCGTTAAATACTTCACAAGAAATAAAGGGATCTGTCATCACTTCTGCTGGGACATCTGCGACGCCTCCTTCAAGTGTGCCAAGTATGAATGCGTGCTCAGTTATGGCAAACAAACTCACTCAGCACTGATTGGATTCCAGGCTCCATGGTCCCCTTCTCGATGCGCATCTTGCACGCGGAGCTTCAGCAGTACCTGGGGAACCCACAGGAGTCGCTGGATAGACTGCACAAGGTGAAGACTGTCTGCAGCAAGGTAGGTGGCGCTGTCATTCTTCCCTGCCACGGGGAGAACATGCCCTCCACGCCCTCCCCACAGGACATGCCCGTGCTGTTCCCTGCCCGTCCTGCCCCATGCACCATCGCTGCTTCTGCCTTCAGAAGGCTAGGTGACCCGGTTTGTGTGGCCTGGTAGTCGTGGCTCTTGCTGAAATCTTTTTTAGGGATGGTAAGAGTTTCTAGCAGAGCTTGAGTCCTGTAATTCTTACTGCCTGGTACTATGGGAAGCTGAAAGGCAGAGACATCTTTCTTGCCAAGGCTGCCAGCTGAAGCTTCAAGGTCAGTGTGCCAGACCACCCCTGTGTCCCACAAGTGCCCACACGCACCTGCCACGTGCAGACAGAGGTACCGGAGCAGTACTGAAAGCAATCATGGTTTAAGCTTTCAAATCCAAGTAAGTGCTTCTGCATTATGGCAACTGTCACTCATGATCCTGACTGCAAAGGCAGAGTCGGAGTGTTTTCGGACTCATTCTTGGTTGTGAAGTCACAGTTAATGTGGGAGCCACCAAAGTGGCACGTTATTACACTAACTGACATTGGGAAGAAATGTGGGACTCAGAGACTTTGCTGTCTACAGGTTGTTATAGAGTATTCATCTCAGATTAGGAATGATCCTGCCTTTCTACCCACGTCACAGTGTTCCTGTATAGGTTCAGTGACATAAGGTATGCGGAAGTACTTTGAAAACTACAACAACAAGCAGTTATTAGGAGCAGCAGCATATTATAATTTTTGGGAAAACTAAGATTCTTCTTGTCAGATTCCTCCTTTCACTTCCTAACTGTTGTGGTAGAAGTTTTGCGGAGTTCCAAGATGATGGTGTTAACAGTGTTCCTAGTAAGGAAGGAAGGGGCCCTCTTTATCCTTATCTGTGGAGAAAAAACAGGCGTTTCTAGGCCCCTTGTTGTCCTGGGCTTTGTACCCACTTCCATTTTTTTATTACCATAACTTAAAAGATAAAAAGAAAAATTGTTTGCTTTCTGTACTATATCAGTTGATGGAGAATCATGTTACCAACTTTTTTACATTTCAACACTTTTCTTGAATCTTAAAACGGGGTTTAATTTTATTTACAGAAATCGGAAGCACATAACTTGAAATTGAGAAGTTCTAAATCAGTGACTTTCTAAACTATACGAATTTTTCATTATCCTCCATGTCACATTGTAGGAAATCTTTATAGTATTTGAGAGAGAAAATTCTGGGCCATAGGGTGATTTGTGGATGGAAAAGCCAAGTTAGTTGAAGTAGTTTTGCAAGTCAGCTTTCCTGGTCCTGAAGTATGTCCTATTTCAGAATTATGCTCCTTAAATGCATACTACAGGCTGGGTACAGGGGCTCATGCCTGTAATCCCAGCTACTTGGGAGGCTGAGGCATGAGAATCGCTTGAACCCAGGAGGCTGAGGTTGCAGTAAGCCGAGATCAAGCCACTGCACTCCAGTCTGGGCAACAGAGCAAGACTCTGTCTCAAAAAAAAAGAAAAACTGCATACTACAGTGTAACGATGAGAGGAGCCACTTAGCACTAGCTATGAAGCAGCAGGGACGGTGGAGCAGAGAGCAGGAGCTTCCCACACCGCTGCTCTGGGCACCTGCACTTACTCCACCTGACAGACACCTTTGTTGCATTCATTATGAGGCAGCCACTGCTCTGAGTTCCAATATTAACTCATTTAATCCTTATCACAACCCTATGAAGGAGATGTTATTATCCCAATTTACAGATGGGGAAACTGAGGCACAGATAGGTTAGGTAACTTAGGATCACATGAGTTGAACCCAAGTCATCTGGCTCTAAAGTCCATGCTCTTCATCACTTGCCTGGCTTCATCACTATAACATGTCCCGTTTGAAGACAGAAGGACCGAGAGTCCTCTCTTCCACCCTGCACCAGCATTTCTGCTCCAAGAAAGGACAGTGCTGTCCGGGGTCAACTGACATCTGCTCAGAAGACCCCTGTGCTGAATGGGGCCCTGCCCCTTCCCCCTGACTGATGCCTGGAGATGGGCTCGAGCCTGTGCTCTGCTGGGCTGGGCCCTCCTGAGACTCTTGAGGGGGCTTCCAAGCAACAGCAGTTGACAGCTAAGCATCGTAGGGTTGGGGAGAAACGAGAAGGGTTAGTGCAGTCACATCCTAGGAACGTTTCTCTCAGGCTGACTGGGCGTGGGGCCACCGTCAGTGAGAGAGCCACTCATGCTTCTCGTTCCCTCCGCTGGTCTACAGTTCCACCTGCCTCTCATCTTGTGAATACATAACCGCACTTCAGGTATCTCTCATGTTTAAAGATACATATCTTTTCCATGGCATGATCCAAATCTAAGCCAACACTCCTTATGGTACTTAAATGAGGAAATCGCAATTCGTTCTAATCCTGGAAGAAAAACAAGCAGTTGGATTTATGAAAAGGTGTGTGTTGGTCTTCACCTTAAAGGATTTTCACCGTTAATTTCAATATGTAATTACTATGTGTTCCTTTATGTGCTGACTTAAAATTTGACACCCTCTTGAGAGAGAGAGCTGCACTGTGGCACAGCTGGTGGATGCCTGGACCAAGAGGGAAAGACCCAGGGCATGACCATATAGTCAGCCTTGCCTGTCCGCCACCTTTGGCAGGAGAAGAAGCACCGTCGCCAACTTCCTCGCTCACTTCCTTGCACGTTAGGGGCTCATGGCCGCATGTGGGCATTCTTGACCTTTCTGCGGCTGGTTCAGTGTTGAACTGAAGCAGTTTTTATCTGGATGTGAACAGTGGGCACTGCGGGGACATGGAGCAATGCGTCTCCACGCTGTCCAGAACAGCTCTATCTGAGCTTGTTCATTTGTTCATGCAGCAAATGCCCTTTCAGCACCTACTGAGTACTGCACACTGGCAGTTCGGGACTCAACAGAACGCAGCCTCGCCCTCAGTGAGTTTACAGTTTGGTAGACGATGCTTGTTTCACCTGTTCCTTTTAGGTTTGCAGCCATCACCAATACATCATGATCCTCCAGAATTTAAAAAGGGACAGTTTGTGTTCATGCTAGAATTTCTTTACTCAAGAAGTGTGTATTAGTCCATCTGGCTTTGCCATAAAGGAATACCCGAGGGTGAGTCATTTATAAAGAAAAGGTTTATTTTGGCTCACAGTCCTGCAGGCTGTACAAGAAGCACAGTGTCAGCATCTGCTTCCAGTGAGGCCTCAGGAAGCTTTTTTTTTTTTCTTGAAGCGGAGTCTCGTTCTGTCACCCAGGCTGGAGTGCAGTGGCGCTATTGGCTCACTGCAACCTCCACCTCCCAGGTTCAAGCGATTCTCCTGCCTTGCCTCCTGAGTAGCTAGGATTACAGGCGCCCATCACCACACCTGGCTAATTTTTCTATTTTTAGTAGAGACAGGGCTTCACCATGGTGGCCAGGCTAGCCTCAAACTCCTGACCTCAAATGATCCACCCGCCTTGGCCTCCCAAAGTACTGGGATTACAGGCATGAGCCACTGCGCCTGGCCAGGAAGCTTTTAATCATAGTAGAAAGCAAAGGGGAAGCAAGTGTGTCACATGGTGAGAAAGACAGCGAGAGAGAAGAGGAGGAGGAGGGAGGCACCAGACTTTTTTTGACAATCAGATCCCAAGGTAACTAACAGAGCCAGAACTCATTCATTGCCATAGGGACGGTACCAAGCCACCCATGAGGGATCCACCCCCAGGACACAAACACCCCCCACCAGGACCCACCTCCAACACTGGAGCTCACATTTCAACATGAGATTTGGAGGGGATGAATGTCCAAACTATATCATAGTGCAAAATCTAAAAATACTAAAAGCCAGCCCACCACTATTCTGCCAGTGTTGATTTGCTGGATTAAAGTGAACGGCTTGGTGTGGCCTTTGATCCCCTCTGCTCTCCACTGGTGAGTAAAGAGAGAGGTCAGACCAGAGACTCCAGGGTTCTCCAGCATGACATTCTGATTTTCCCAGACCTTCACAACTCCAGGAAATCCTCAGGAAGTCTTAAACTAAGGATGTGTTAGTGAGACCTCTCCGTCCGTGGACTGCCCTTTGCTGCATTGTTTAAAGTATTCACCACACCTGCCCCAAACCACACGCACACACACAGCTCTGCTCAGGACACGTGCTGTGTGTCCCAGCACTGAGGTGCAGTCACGTGTTAACGCTGCATGGATGTGTGAGGTGCTGAATGCATTATGTTGATTACCCCCTACTAATGCCCACAGCAGCTGCAAGTGATTTTATTATCCTCGGTTCCCAGATGAGGAAAGTGGCCTCAGGGAGGTGAAGTGTTCCCCAGACAACTGCAGTGAGGCAGCGATGGAGCCTGGCTGAGCCCCATCACACAGCTCCAGAAGCCTCACCCTTGAGCACCACTCTGCGGTTCTCTGTGAAATTAGACCATCAGGATTGTGGTTTTTTCCTCCAAATACAGACTTTTCTCTGATGCTTTGTAAAGCAGGGGCTCTAAAGTTTGGTCTTAAGCGTCACTTGAACAGTTCCAGAAATTTTAGCAATCTCTACTGCACTTGCTCCTGCCAAAAATTGCTCTCAGTAGATTCAGGGAACTGTGGACTCTTCCAGTGGGTGAGGAGAGTCAAACAGAGTGAAAAGAAATGAGTCCAGAATGTTAAACATGATTTCCTTTGGTGCCGTTTTCCATTAGCTCCTCCTCCCGCAGGGCGTGGAGAGCAGCCGGTTACTCGAGGGTAGGGCGTCTAGAGCAGCCGGTTACGCGAGGGTAGGGCGTGGAGAGCAGCCGGTTACGCGAGGGTAGGGCGTGGAGAGCAGCCGGTTACGCGAGGGTAGGGCGTGGAGAGCAGCCGGTTACGCGAGGGTAGGGCGTGGAGAGCAGCCGGTTACGCGGTTACACGAGGGCGGAGGGCGTGTGCCGGGAGCACAATCCGGGCCGAGGCTCCTGGTAAGGGAGCAGAGCGGGAAGCTGATCCCCCACGGATTCTTAGGGGGCCGACTTCCCCTGTGTTGAAGATTCATCAAAGACTGATTCGAGTCTGTGTTCAGCATGTGTGTTTTAGATTAGAACAGTGTTGAGAATTTTTATATGGGGCCCAGTTTTAGCAGGACATCATTTAGGATCTTTACAAACGAGTTCAGGGTACTTCGTTTTATCTGTTGTCTTTGAGCCACTGAGTGAATTAGTAAATGTTTGCAAATGTGATTGCATCAGTGAAGAAGAACATATACCACGAGTTAAAATAAATTTCCCGTGCTGCTGAAAAATCAGTGCCGCCATCCTCTGACCCTGCTCCTCCCACGCGCCCTGCAGGCTGTCTCCCTCTGGGGTCGAGAGAGCTTCACAGACCATTTGGGAAAGAGCCAAGCAAACACACTTCTGCAAGCCATTTGCATAAGTAGACATAATCCATACGGAATGATGCACTGTTCGGTTGTAGTTTCATTCGTCAGTGACCTGCATCTGCCCGCCCAGTCTTGAGTTCAGCTCCATCCCTCCCTGCAGTTCCGCAGCCTCCGGCTTCCCCACCTCAGCTTGGCTGAGAGTTTCACGTTCATCCAAGTGCTTCTTTACAGACTCACTCCCAGCTGGAGGAGGCAGAGGGTAAGGTACATTTTCGTGCACTCCGGAAAAGAAACGTATTCAACAATGTCCATGTAGCTTTTGCTTCTCTATTGATAATTGCTAATGTGGTAGTGAGAGCTTTGTTTGTAGGAAGAGTTAATATCTTTTCTAAAAGGGTTTTTTGACAGATGGACATTCTTCAGTTTTGCTGTCTTATTTGTTAAGCAAAGTTAGAAACATAAGTGAGAACAGGCGTGGCTGGCCTCTAACACTGTCAGGGCCAGGACTCAGGGCCTGGCCACCCGCACACCGACAGTGGCCAGTTATTGCCATCACCGTGCCTGACCCAGAGGGTTTGGTTGCCCTTCTTTTCTGCTGCTTCCACAGAAAACAAATTGATTGTGGCTTAATCAGATGAGATGGGAATGACTGGCAGGTGGGGAGAAGAAAGGAAAGGCCGAGTGAGGATGGCCATCCATCGAGGCCACTTCCCTGCTCTTTGCCATTGAAGCCCATGCTCCTGGAACCCCGTGTGTGTTCAGAATGTGCAAGCAGAAGAAGAAGAGGGAGCGGAAAGCACTGGGCATCAGGGCTTTCCAGGGGAATGTCTTGACCTGGCTGGCAGTGGAAATTCACACCTTCAGAAACCTCTAGAGTTCATCGTGGCCAATCCTGGGACATGGACTTAGGAATGCCCAACCCCGCCACCCAGCCGTGGCAACCCGATTCAAAACCAAATGCACCAAATGTGAACTCGAAGGCCATAGCCCTTGCCAGCGACCCAGCCCTGAAGCGGGCATGATAGCCCAGAGAAGAGGCCTTTGATGTAAGATGATTCTTAAATCGTGCATTCTTTGCCTTGCTTTTCTCGGCAGTATGTGTTCTGTCAATCTGTGATCTGAGTAGAAAGAAGAAAGTGTATTTTCAAGGTATGAGGGGCCCAGAGGACACTGTCCCAAAAGCAGTGGTTGTGAGAGTGGCTTTGGAGTCAGGCTGACAGTCTGGAAACTTCCAGGTCCGCTCTGAAGTGCCGGCTGCATGACCAGCCCTCCAGCCTGTGTCCGCTTCGGCCTTCTTTGTGCAAGTGAGAGCATTGCTGATCCCCCCGGGGTGGCGAGGGGGCGCACGTCAGTGACCTCGCATGGTGCCTGCCAGGCACGTGGTCCGTGTTTCATGATTCTTTGAGAGCTTTGGAGCAGCTCCAAGAAGACTCTTTTACTTTGAAGAGGTCCCCTGGGAAGCTGTGGTGGGACTGGAAGGTCGCAGGACTTTCCAAAATCTAAGTCTCTCCAGAACAGAGCTGCTCCAAGCTTTAGTCTCCACTCAAAAGGGTCCACTTAGTAAGTTCTCAGGTCCTTGGCTTAGTGCCAGCTTCCCAGTAGTTTGTATACTAGATGCCTTGGGAATAAAACCAGTTCCCTAAACCTATCCCGTGCTCACCCACGACCCGTGACAGCTGCCAAAGGGACAGACGCAAAGGCTCCTTCCTCAAGGCCCCCTGCAGACAGCACTTTCCACACTGAAGGTGTCAGTGACCCAGCCAGAAAACCTGCTTCACCACCTCCTGGATAACTGCATAGGATGAGAACATAGATTTGGGTCTCTTTAAATATGAATAGGTTACAAATTGCCTTTTTAAATATTGCTTGAGATCAAGTGGTAGTGGTTATATATGGAGTCAAGCAGCTGGGATATTCATTCAAGGCGTGTAATTTTCTTCATTCTTTGGACAAAACACAAGCAGGTTTTTAATTTTGAATAATTGATCTTCCCTCCCATACTGTGGGCAGGTGTTGATGGTTCCCCACCTTGTTAGCCTGAAGCCTGTTCATCCCTGGACCGGCCATGACATGCCCAGTGCAGTATCCCCCACGGTGGGGCTGGCAGCAGCCCCTCCACACTATGCACAGAGCAGTCTGAGTCTGGAATCGTCTCTTCAGCCTTACAGCTGTTCCATCTGTTATTTTCTCCAAACTCCTCTTCCCTGCATTTCCAAGCAGCGTCTTCTCATGATTACAGTCACTTTCAGAGATGAGCTCATGCTGATACCCAATGAAGAACCCAGTTCAGAATTTTCTTTTTTTTTCTTTTTTGTTTTTTTGAGACAGGGGGTCTTATTCTGTCACCCAGACTGGAGTACAGTGGCATGAACGTGGCTCACTGCAGCCTTGACCTCCCCGGTTCAAGCAATTCTTCTGCCTCGCCCTCCTGAGTAGCTGGGACTACAGGCATGCACCACCAAGCCTGGCTAATTTTTAAACTTTTTGTAGAGATAGGGTCTCACTCTGTTGCCCAGGCTGGTCTTGAACTCCTGGACTCAAGCAGTTCTCCCACCTCAGCTTCCCAAAGTGCTACAGCTGACTATAAGCGTGAGCCACCATGTCCAGCCCAGAATTTTCAAATTAAACAAAACTAACCCTCCAACATGTTTCAGTACAGTGGCCTCAATACACTATTCCTCATGCAAAGCCTTCAGTTGAAAGTGCTGGGTAACTTGGATTTGCCTGTGTGTTGACCATCAGTTGCTGCCTAACAGATTATCTGCAGCTCTGTGGGCTAAAACCACAGGGATGTATGACCTTCCTATTTCTGTGGGTCTCGAGTCCAGCACAGCTTCTGGGTCGCACTGGCTCAGGTCTGTCCTGAGGTTGCAGTTAAGATGGTGACCGCAGTGTCTCACCTGAGGGCTCAGCTGGGGCTGGAGAACTGGGCTCCGGGAGGCTCCGTCATACACCCGCTGAGTTCTGCTGCTGTTGGTGAGAGGCTGGGTTCCTGGCCTCATGGTTCTTTCTGTAGGGCTTCTTGTGCGTCTCACAGCATAGCAGCTGGCTCCCTGCAGAGAGGGAGGGAGGAGGAGGAAGCCACAGTGCCTTGCACGGCCGGGTCTCAGAGGTCTCTATGTCCCCTCCACCTGGTTCTTTTTGTCAGACGAGTCACTAAGTCCAGGCCACACGCAAGGGATGGGAATGAGACTCTGCCTTTTGAGGAGTGCTCAGGAATGCATGGCCGCATTTAAACTGCCACACTGTGGCCGGTCAGCTGGGTCTGTTCCACTTCAGGATCCACAGGCCTCTCCTGGCCCTGCAGGACAGGCTCCCCTGCCTCCACTCCAGCCCGTCCTGGTGGTTGTGAGCCGCACTTAACCCTGCCAGGATGCGGCTTGTACTGGGAGGCCCATGGGCTCCGAGAGGACTTCCCTTCAACCTCCAGGCACCTTGAAACTGCCCAGCAGCCAAACCTCAGAGCTGTGGAAGCTCCTGGACGTTTCAAAGACCCACTTAATATTTAATAGTCAGTGCAGCATTAATTTCATTGCTCCCCGATCCCACATATCGAAACCTTTCACAGTTTAGTACAGGGATGATGGTGAAAGAGAAACCACAGGGAAAATCCGAGGCAGTGGAATTGTTTAATTTCTGGTTGCTTCTCCTCTTATTTGTAATTAATATCCATTCAGCATCTTTAAAGCTTACAAAATGCTTCAAGTACATTCTCATTGGAGTTCCATGATTTGTAAAACAGGCATGTGAAAAAATGGGAAGCTAAGGAAATAGGAATTCAGAAAAGGTACACTGAAGGTACGCTGAAGGTCAGCCTGAACTTGAACCCACGTCTTCTGGCACCGGACATCCCTGTTCTTGTCACTGCGGCACTTTGCTCTGTGTGTGGAAAGCGTGAAGGGCCCCTGCAAATGGACATGATGCTGCCTCCTCCACAGGTTTATTTTTGTGAAATCAAACAGAATACTGTTTGTGCTTAAAAACCATCCTGCGCCCCCATCTGTAAAATACATCGTCCCCGGTACTTCCCAGCAGGCGCTAAGCACCACCCACACTGCCGGCGCCTGACCAGACAGCTCCATGGAGCTCCTGACCCAGCTTCAACCCGTCGGGAACAGCTCCCAGGGAATGTGCAGGAAGGTGCCTCCAACACCCGGCCCTTTCTGCCCCTCGGCCCCTGTGGTCACTCTGCCCTCCACAGTCCTTCTGCCCCTGTGGCTGGTCGCTTACTGCTCTGTGCATCTTCCTGAAGCACTTGGCACTGTTGCCTCATCTCTGTCCTCTTCCTCCTATGCCCTCGCCTGGGCCCTCAGCAGCTTCCAGCAGGGAGGGTGTGGGTGCAGTGATTTGGATCATGCCCCTACTCCTCAGAGCCTCTTCCCAAACGAACCGGGTGTGGCGTGCTGGGCCTTTATTCTTCTGGGACACAAACACGGGACTGCTGATTGGTCTCTGATATAGACCCTGGAGTCTGCTCCTTTTGTCTGGGGCAAAAGGAACCAAGGAGGAAATTCCAGCCGCACCACATTTGCAAACGACACACTGTCGGGCTTTTTTTGCAATAACTGCATTTCCTAAATAATTCAGTCTTTGGATTGAGAACGTGTCTGTCACTTTCCTTTATAGAAATAACCTTTTGTAAATTAATGTACTGTTACTTTATAAAGCCAGACAACTGTCTCTAGATAGACAGCAATAAAAGCTACCAACTGTGAACTGCTGTTTCTTTTCCTTTCACTCATGGATGCTCTTCTGCATCACACTGGGACCTATCAATTGACATTAAATGACACACCCTACAAATAAAACAATAGTCACTGAGGGTCAGAAGGTTGTGTCTGATATGCCTATGTTCCTGTCAACAATAGGGGCTTTCTCCAGCTGTCCCCTTCTCGGGCTGAAGCACCTCAGTGACCCAGATCCCTGCAGGCACTTGGCGTCGTTTTGTGTGTCCCTCTGCCCCAGCCAGGAGAGTGCTTTTTGCAGAGGGAGGGGTGTAGCCTGCCTGGTGTCTCCGTGTCCTACCTGTGTGCCCTCCCAGCTGGGTAGGTGGGTCTGGAGGGGTGTAGCCTGCCTGGTGTCTCCATGTCCTACCCCTGCGCCTTCCCAGCTGGGTAGGTGGGTCTGGAGGGGTGTAGCCTGCCTGGTGTCTCCATGTCCTACCCCTGCGCCTTCCCAGCTGGGTAGGTGGGTCTGGAGGGGTGTAGCCTGCCTGGTGTCTCCGTCTCCTACCCCTGCACCTTCCCAGCTGGGTAGATGGGTCTGGAGGGGTGTAGCCTGCCTGGTGTCTCCGTCTCCTACCCCTGCGCCTTCCCAGCTGGGTAGGTGGGTCTGGGCCAAAAGCAGCTGCTGCAGGTGGA
This sequence comes from Homo sapiens, assembly GCF_000001405.40. Classification (NCBI taxonomy): domain Eukaryota; kingdom Metazoa; phylum Chordata; class Mammalia; order Primates; family Hominidae; genus Homo; species Homo sapiens. Next base: position 64,049 of record NT_187522.1, read on the forward strand.
GCTCCCGTCACTCACATGCTCTGCGTTTGATGCCTCTGCTAAGATGGAGCCTCTGTTTCTGCATTTATGCATCATTGGGGTGGGAAACTCTGTTTCCTTTTTTCTAGACCTTTCTCTTCCTGCTGCCCTTCTGAAGGACCTCATTCCCCCTTCTCCCCTCATTGGCCGTGATAGTCCACAGGGAACGTCAGCCCCAGCGCAGCTTGTGCTGAGACCACCATGGCCCTGTGGTGCGGGTCTTCTCTCAGGCCTTGCGTGCTCACTACAGAGGTCTGGGGTGTTTCTGCAGGGTTTTCTCCTCCACTCAGCACGTGGAGAGATCGCCCATGGCATGGAGAGATGGCCCAGACCCACAGAGACCTCGCCGCATAGAGGATTTGCCCAGACCCCTAGACCCCGCCACGTGAGGAGGTCACCCAGGCCCGTAGGGCTCCCGTGGTGTGCGGAGGCGCAGAACAAGCTCAGGAGTCTGCTGACCTGGTGCGCCACACCCCGGGGACCGCCAGTGGGCGTGTTCGAGGCTCCGCTGACCAGGGCGCTGTCAGGTCTGGTTCGGGCAGCGGCTTTGCCTCTGTGATAGGTGTCCCGTCCCTCTTTCTTCCTGTGCTCCCTCTACACTAGCCTAAGGGAAGTCAGTTTCCTTTTTTTAATAAATTTTAATTTTTGTAGATACATAGTAGGTGTTTATGGGTTATAGGAGATATTTTGATACAGGCAGGCAATGCGTAATAATCCCATCAGGGTAAATGGAGTATCCATCCCCTCAAGCATTGATCCTTTGTGTTGCAACAATCCAATTATGCTCCCTTAGTTATTTTTTTAACGTACACTTAAATTACTGTAGTCACCCTTGTACTAGCAAACACTAGGTCTTATTTGTTCTATTTTTTTTTTGTACCCATTACCATCCCCACTCCATCCCCCACTACTGTTCCCAGCCTCTGGTAACCATCCTCCTGCTCTCCATCTCCATGAGTTCAGTTGTTTAAAGTTTAGCTCCCACAGATAAGTGAGAACATACGATGTTTGTCTTTCTGTGCCTGGCGTATGTCACTTAACACAGTGACCTCCAGTTCCATCCATGCTGTTGTAAATGACAGGATACCATTCTTTTTTATGGCCGAAGAGTACTCCATCGTGTATATATGGCAATTCCTTTATCCCCTTGTCTGCTGATGGACACTTAGGTTGCTTCCAAGTCTTGGCTGTTGTGAACAGTGCTGCAGCACACACGGGTGTGCAGTGATCTCTGATAGACTGATTTCCTTTCTTTTCTTTGGAGTATATATCTAGGCATGGATTGCTGCGTTGTATGGTAGCTCTATTTTTTGTTTTTTTGTAGAAACCTCAAACTGTTCTCCCTAGTGGTTGCACTGATGTACATTCCCACCAACTGTGGACAAGGGGTGAGGGAAGTTAATTTCATGGTAACACCAAGCCTTTCCTTTTTGTCAGTTTCTGTTCTTATGATCATTCATTAGAAGGCAGATTCACTGAAGAATGTCGTTTTACCTAGTTTAAACTGGCTAGATTCTTTTCAAGGTTACAATTTTGAACCCCACCTTGTCCCCTGAGTCATCGAGGTAGCCCAAGATAACGGTTAAGAGGAAACATCCTTTGTGTTGGCAGCAAATTGTTCTCCAGTTTCTGTTAAGTAGTGTCCCTTGCAGGTGAGGAGAGGCTGCTTTCATCCTCAGCAGGTAGAGACCGGGGAGTCGGACCAGCGGAAATCCTCACCTCCTGGGGTGGGCCGTGTGGGGAGTGTTAACTGGCAAGACGATCTAAATTCTCTACCCAGATCACAGCGGCTACAGCAGCTTTGCTTTCAGAGAAGAAAACACAAAAAAAAGTGCCCAAAAGTTAAAAAGCAAGTGGTAAAACCGGGAAGCGACACGTTGCACAAAACGTATTTGGTACGTTAAAAAGGCCAGAAGCACGGTGCCCTGTAGGAATGAGACTGACATCTTCACAAAAGGTCATCATCAGTCTCATGTGACATTCTCCATGCTTTTTTTTTAAAGACAGGGTCTCATTCTGTCACCCAGCCTGGAGTGCAGTGGTGCAGTCCCTGGTCACTGCAGCCTTGACCTCCCAGGCTCAGGTGATCCTCCCACCTCAGCCTCCCAGGTAGCTGGGACCACAGGCGCACACCACCATGCCCAGCTAATGTTTTGTATTTTTGTAGAGATGGGGTTTTGCCATGTTGCCCCAGCTGGTCTCTAACTCCTGGGCTCAAGTGACCCACCTGCCTCGGCCTCCCAAGGTGTTGGGATTACAGGCTTGAGCCACCGCTCAATCCCAGAAGTGTTGGGATTACAGGCTTGATGCTTTTCTTAAAAAACATATTCCCCATGTATGATGTCTGCAGATACTTCAAGAACATCATAAACACCACTTTCACCATCAGCTGGGAGCAGAGTCCCTCCCCATTCACTGTCGCCCCACGCCATAGGGACTTGGTGATGTTTACAGTGTGTCCCTGTGGGCGAACGGGATAAGGAAAAGATGGTGCACATACACTGTGGAATACTACGCAGCCGTAAAAAAAGAACCAAATCATGTTGTTTGCAGCAACATGGATACAGCTGGAGGCCATTATCCTAAGTGAATTAACACAGAAACAGAAAACCAAATAGTGAATGTTTTCACATGTAAGTAGAAGCTAAACATTGGATTCACATGGACAAAAAATAGACCAGAGACTACCAGTGGGGGGAGGGTGGGATGGGAGGAAGAGCTGAAAAATGATCTGTTGGGTCCCATGCTGACTACCTGGGTGATGGCTTCAATCGTACCCCAACCTCAGCATCACCCAGTATACCCAGGTAACCTGCACACATACCTCCTGAATCTAAAATAAAGTTGCAATTTAAAATAAATAAAATATCAAATGTTTTAATATTTTTTAAAAGTATGTGTGAACATCCCTTGACAAATTGTTTTCATCCAGAGAAATTTGCTGTACTGAGATTATATTATAACAAAGTCTTAGACAAAAATTGGTTCCCATGATTTTGTCCTTCTCATTTGGAATGATTGCAGATCCTGGCCAATTTGGAGCAAGGCTTAGCAGAAGACGGCGGCATGAGCAGCGTGACTCAGGAGGGCAGACAAGGTGGGTCGGCCGGACTTTGCTGACTAGATGCTTCTCGGACATCACTGACAGACTGAGCCCAAAGCCTCTCGCTTCCTCTCCTTCTCCTTTCCTTTCTGTAGTCAGCACTGCACGTGTCCACTCGTGCATTTGCAACTCACTCCTTTCTTGGGGAAGCCAAGCACATCACTGGGTGATGCTGTGGGTGCAACGTGCAGCCTCAGACCCGAACCCTGCGCCCGGGGAGAAGACACGCCTTCACCACAAAAGCACACGGCCCGGAACCTGCCACGCTGAGTGGTCTGAGTGGGCGCGAGGAAGGAGCCCAGCCCAGCCGAAGGGGCCCAGAGGGGCCTCTGCGTCGGGGAGAGAGGCCTCTGCGTCGGGGACAGAGGCCTCTGCGTCGGGGACAGAGGCTCGGGAGGGTGCTTCAGGAGGAGCTGGAGAGGAAGGCCCAGAGCCTGGGGCAGGCTGAGGGACCTGGGCAGTTCCCTGGAGCATTGGAAACCCCTTGGGGGACTGGGTGGGTTGACATGAGCTGATCTGCACAGTGAGGCCATGCCAGCTGCAGCTCGGGGAGTGCGTTAGCCAGGAGCAAGCTTCCGATCATGCTTGGAAACCTGGCCTGAGTGCTCCCTCCCAGGTAGCCCCACCCTAGCCTCACTCCCTCACTCCTTGTGGCAGCATCTCCCCACAGGCCTGGTGGCCTGGTCATCTCCTCCTTCCCACAGCTTCTGTCCTACTCGATGTGCAGCCCAAGTCAAGATCGGGTGGTCTCCGTTTCCGCAGGTGTGCTGGGGTTTCTGGGGAACTGCTGGCTGGTGTGAGCTGAACGTGTGTGAGGTGTGTATGTGTGTGGTGTGTGGATGTTGGGTGTGCATGCTGTGGCATGTGGTGTGGGTGTGGTGTGTGCATGTGTGTGCACTTGTGCACTCTCTTTTCAGTAATTTAATTGCAGGTAGAGTAACAAGGTCTGAAGGAGAGACGGCACTGTCTGCTCATGGATGTCCCATTCAGCATTCTTGGCAACCAGTCATTTTACCCCTGGTTGGGCTCCTGCTTTGGTGGGAATGAGCATGTAGTTATCAGAGAGCAGAAGGCTGTTCCTGGAAATCTAACAGAAGGTCACACCCATGAGCATTTATAAGGAGGGTAGGGGAGGATTTAGAGCAGGAAAGGAATCTGCAAAGATCATCAGAATAAATATGCAATTCATTGAGACAATCCATATTTTACATCCATTAAGAGAAGATATTCAGAATTTCTTTTCACAAAAATAATGGTATAAGGGGAACATAAGCAGCTAATGTGTTTTTCATTGCTGAAAGGCAAAGTGAGTTAAGTTTTTAATTCTAGCAATTAAGTTTCTGTGTGTTCTCCTGAAGCACACCGTAAATGCACATCATTTCTAGGTGATTGTTATCTCACAGTGGACGCTTGGTGCCAGCGGTGGGTCAGCTTCAGCCTCCTAAATCACAGCCTCAGAGGCAGCCAGGGACACACGGCTCCCAGTGCCCAGCGATGAGGGAGGCCAGGAGCACTCCCAGGGCCTGGTGCTGCCCAGGGTGGCATCTTGGCACTTTGCAGTTGGAAGTGTGGACTTTTCTTCGAGGAAGTAGACACAGCACAGGCGCAAGGAGCGCTGGACAAGGGGTCAGATGGAAGCGTCCCTGGCCTCTGTGGACCTCAGCCTGCCTGTCAATAATATGTTCATTTCAGATTAGCTCAGTCCTCAACCTGCGCCTTCCTCCTGGTCATCCCAATGATAAACAGGCACCATTGGTCAGCCCACCCTCCCCCCAGGGCAGCTCCCAGGGGACCTTTGCAGACCCCAAGAAGGCCACAAAGCCAGTTTGGAAACTACTAGAAGAGATGGGCCCTGAAGGTTTGAAATCAGTGGAGGGATGGCTGCTAACTAAATAATGTGCAGGGGAGAGCAGGGAGGGACGGGCCAGGCTCAGGGTCGCGGTCAGCCACCGTGTGGCAGCAGGTGCTAGGGAAGGAAGCCAGCTGCAGGGGAGTGCCGAGTCCCCAGCGGAATGTGCCAGCCACTTGAGTTCTGGAACACGGTGTAGCACTCCTTGGGGGAACCGGCGTCTGCACCAGCCCATGGTCGGGAGGCAGGGGAGGCCTCATGGCTGGGCATGGGTGGGGCCCTCCGGGTGGCCTCCCATAGGTCAACTGCGAGAGGCTGGCGGCCACCCTGGCCAGTGGCCCTCCCAGCCTTGTCGAGCTGCAGGCAATGTCGTCGTTTCTGTCAGCTTTGCTCCTTTTCTCAGGGTTCTGGCTTTGGAAACGGGGCCCCCGGTCGGACCATTTGGCCTTGTGTCTGGGCTGATGCTGAGCAGCCACCCTCCTGGTTCTCTGATGCCGAGGGTCTCTTCCCAAAGCCACCTCTGGTCCCAATGCGAGTGCTGTATTTTCTGCCTCAGTGCAGCCTGCAGCATATTCAGCATTCCAGGCCGAAATCCAGTGGTGTTAACAAGAGGGATCTTTTAAAGTTAAATTAGAATTCACAGGACCCAGTAATTGAGGGCTAGAAAGAGCCTCGAATTTATTTGTGCACTTACAGGCTGCTCTTACCTTGTAGCCTCTATCCGGCTGTGGAGGTCACGTCTGGGCCGGGTGATGTACTCCATGGCAAACTGTCTGCTCCTGATGAAGGTACGTGGGTGGCCAAGCAGGGCTGCCATGTGATCTGGAAGAGCGGGGTCAGTGGGAGCCGCGAGGGAGCCGCTGGTATAATAGATGCTGGCAGGGACCGGCCGTGCAGAGAAGCCAGCTAAGTACTGGCTTAACAGGGAGCCCAGTGACACATTATGGGGCTATATGTACTTTATTTCTACTGCAAGAAATTTCAACAGAATGTAGAATTTAGATGATCAGATTTCATTATTGAAATGTGGGTCTAAATGATTTAATTAAAAGTATTGTTCATTTTCCCCCATTTTTCTCTGAACTCCATCCCCAGAAGGTGTCCTTTGTTCTCCCTATCTTCGTGGAGGGTGTTTTTTTCACCTCATGGTTTTGATTTTATGATTGATGCTTACAACACCTGAAGACAGGCTTCCCCACAAGACCTTCTTAGGACGTCACCCCAGAGCTCTCAGCCCGCAGGGAAACAGCTTAGAAATCAAGGAGCTGAACTGAGGCTGTCATCTGTTTTTCCGTGTCTCCTGGCTCTCGCCAGCCTGTGCAACGGTGTTTTTTGGCTCCTCTCTTTGTTTGGAACGCACCCCACACCTGGCTCACCTCCCACACTGGGCATCAGGGTGCCCTGTGTGGAGCTAGTGTCCCTGCAGCCAGCTGTGCGTACTGAGAGCTACTGCAGGAATCAGCTAGCAGCAGGCGCTCCGGAGCAGTGCTCGTAACACCTCCTGGGCTGTTCGAAGACAGCGACCTTAACTCCCACACCCATGCGGCTTTCATGGGGCCAAGGTCATTCCTGAGCTTGATTTTCAGCAAGGCAGAGCAGGCAATTTACCAGCGGAGAACTGTGCTCACGGGCTCTGTCATGAACCCTGAAGTGGCAGCCCTGCTTTATGCACGGACCCTGCAGCATCCCCAGAGGTGACTGTGACCCCGGGCACTGCTCCGAGCAGGCTGGGTGCGGGTATAGATTCACAGCCATCAGTGGCTCAGGCATTCCATCAGGAAGACGTGCAGCCCGCACCCCGGCTTTAGCGCAGCCCCAGTGCCCAGTGCGGGGCCGCTGCCTTTGCGCTTCTGCGTCTACGTCAGGCTGGACGCACAAGGAGACTCGGCGTCCTGTTCATCCTCGGTAGCAAGCGACCGTGACGCAGCCTCGCACTACTGCAAGCCTCAGCCTCCTCCTTAAAATAAGGGCATAGATCTGAGATCTCTGAAATCCCTCCCAGCTCTGACATTCACACAGCTCTCTCCTCTCCTTCAACACACTGGATAAAGGAAATTACGGTTTTCAAGTTCTGTGGTTTTGCTCAGAGCAGGTTTTTCTTCCGCTGCCACTCCTGAGATAGTCCCACTGAGGTCAGGTGGCCCGCACAGGTGCTTTGTTCTGGTCCTCACCCTCCTCCCACCCGCCCCCTTCCCTTCTCCAGCCCCCTCTGGCTTCTGCAGCAGGGCTTGCCCACCTCTGAGTGGGAGTGAAAAGTAGGCCCTCCTGCTCCCCTGCCCTGGTGGCCTCTTCACCACCCAAGGCTTGGCCAGCAACCAGGTGACCCCGAAGCACCCGGCCTGACCCCTCTGCCTCCCAAAACAGGCCATTCTCCCTGTGCTGCCTGTGGCCAGCCCTGACACCCCCACCTGGCGGTCTGGGCGGTCCGCAGTAGGCCTCCACCTGCTGAGGGCATTGTCAGCGTCACCTGAAAGTCACCAGCTTGCCGGAACATTCTTATGCAAAGACATGAAGAATCAATTATAAATTCACAGGACTGACGTTTCACTAATCATGGGGCTAAAACTCCCCAGGGAGGAAAGTTCCCTGTTCCACTGGCGGGCTTTCATTTGCATTTTAAGACACATTAATAGAAAACGACGGAATGGGCTTTTCTTTGTGGCACTGTGGTAGTAACACCACCACCAGGCTCCGAATGTGAGTCTTCTTCCTGTATTGCTGGGACTCAGTACAGAACATATTATTGCATTTCAAAAATACTTTTACAATGGACATGATTTAATTTGAAAGTTCAGCTTAAGCTTTCATTTTCATGAGTTAAAAAAAGGAGGCAAAAATGTTGCAATTAAAGCCAAGCCAAGCATATGCACTCTCTTGCCATCTAGTGAGCATACAGGGTATTGCAACAGTGTGTGATCTTAATAATATGGGGTATCCTGTTAATTAAATTATGTATATGGGCTAACAATGAGTTATTTAATCAGCCATTTAATTATCTTGAATAACATTTTTATTACAGTGAAATAAATACCAATTTAACTTCTTAGCAATGAAATGTATTCATACGTTTTAGCCCTGGATAAATCTGCATGATATGCTATAATGCACAGTGGCATGTATTATAAAGCATTGAAAATGTCACTATCTTCACTTTTTAAATACTTCTTCCTCTCCTTAGGCCTCACTGTAGCCTTAGGGCACCTGCACTGGCAGACCATATGGATGCAGGTGCCTGCCACCTTAGGTGGCTTGGGCCCCCCCTCCCCCGGGTGCCCCTGGGAGGCCACTTCCCTCCTGGTGTCCCCACAGCTCGCCAGTATGCACATCAGAACCCGCCGTGGCTCCGCACATGATGGAAAGGAGCACGCAGCTGCATCAGCTACCTTCCGTCTTGCTGAAATTAGACTGCAGAAGTCCTTGCTGGTTGCAGAATGGTTGTAAATCTAGTTTCACGGCCTGTAAACACGTGTGGCTGCTGAAAAGAAATGGTGAAGATTGAGCTAAAATAGACTTGTCCCTGGAAGTAAGTCATTCATGTCCTTTACAAAAGCCAAATCCACAGGATCTGGAGAGTAGGTTAAGCTCTCTTGAGGAGCTTCTTTTGGCCATTTTACCTGTGAAGGGCTGTTTCCTCTTCAGTAAATAAAGTCATTAAGTAACCGTCAACCTAAGGAAACTTTGTAACACAATCCCAAATCCTCATCTGCTGTATTGACGATGGGCCCCCTGAAGTGCCCCAGAATTCTTCCCCCAACTGCAGCCCGGACACACAGACACGTGTCATGTTCACACCTGAGGGACTGGCGAGCGCTACTGTTGCTGAGCTGGTGGGAGTGGCTGCCGGCGGGTGCAGGGGCCCCCGAGATCCCTTCTCTGCCGCGCCTGCCCCCGGCCTGGAATCCAGCTTCCTCTCACACGGCTCCCAGGCCTGTGCACGTGCTCTTTGGGAAGAGCCATGCCTAAAGTAACTTCCCATCAAAGAGCATGGCTTGGTTTCGTAAAAACCTGTCTTTTGTCATACTAGATTATCTTCAGAAACACTGACCCCTGGCCCTGAGCACTGAAAGAGCGGTTAGGGTGATGCGGCTGGCCACGGCATCGCCCACTAGCAGTGAGTGCTGCGCCCCCACCACGCCCCCACCCTGCGCTCTCTGTGGTGGCCGCCTCAGCCTGGAGCATCAGTGGCGTGAGTGGGGCACTGGAATGACCCAGTGACACTGCCGGGCTGATAACAAGAAAGTCAAAGCCTGCCTTTTGTTTACTTGAAACCAAAGGTGGGACATGTGTGGGATTAGAACAGACATTGCCCAGCATGATGGGTGCTCGGAAGCCTACTTCCTTCCCCAGAGAAGCCTAGGGGGGCAGCTGCTACTTTTCCCCGAGCTGGTGCAAGCTGGTGAGTGCAGCCTCTGTTGGAAAGCAGGGCTGCTCCCCTAAACTTCTCAGATCAGGGCCAGCCCAGGGTGTGCAGGCCCCACAGCTGCATCTGGGGTGCCATGTCCGTCCCAGCTGCAACCTCAGCCGCCCCGAGTGCCCCCATGCCAGGTCACAAAGCCCTCCCCTGTGTGAGGGAGCTCACACACACACGTCCACACACACACATGCTCACACACACGCTCACACTCATACACAATGCTCACACACGCTTACACACACATGCTCGCACTCGCACAGCTAGACAGCAGAGACAGGCAGCAGGAAGGCGTGGGAAAGGAGACCGAGGCATGTGCTGTCTGGCTCGTCATGGGCGTCAGGCCTTGAATAAAATTAGTTTTAATGAGCTGTACTCGAAGGTACTAGACTGGAGAGAGTCGTTTTGGGTTTTTTTTGTTTTTTCCTTCCTACCAAACTGGAATTGTACTTGTCTGTCTTTCTTTGTAACATCCCAATTAGCAAGCCAGTAACTCCAGTCCCAGTTTGGAGGAAATGGAACATGTAGAAGAATAAAGAAATAAAAGTACCTCTGGGATTATACGATGAGTAAGTAAGAAGAAAAACACCATTGGTGGCCATAGTTACTGCTGACCGCGTGCTTATAGCTAAGTGCGAGAATGCAGGGGAGCATTTAGTGCAGGGCCTGCCGCACACAGCTCGCTCAATAAATGCGGCGATCACTGTCATCCTGGAGAGAGCCCGGGTTTGCTGGGGACTTGAGACAAGCTACCACTGTGTCCCACGTGACTTTGGCAAGACCTTCCTGCACGGAGACCGCGTTGCTCACACCTGGAAAGGGTGACTGGGTCCGCTCAGCGTCCAGCAAGTGGCTGTGATGGGCCGGCATGAGTGGGCAGATGGACAGTGAGACTGTGCTGCCAGGCCTTGCCCTTGAGGAGGGGCCACGGGCCAGACCACCACAGGCAGGGCAGAGCGATGAGGAATCCAGCAAAGGCCTTTGGCAGAAACCAGATGCCCTGAGCACGGCAGCTGGCACAGCGCTCCTACATGTTCCCCCGTAGCTGTCTCTAAAACGGGAAGGTCTCATGCGTGCCGCACGGAGCACACGACATTCACGCACTCTGCAAGGCCGACCTCCATCACATACTCAGCCTCAGCAAACTTGTTTTGTGGTTTTTCTTTACATGTAAAGGTTTGACCTTAATTTCTAGCATAGAAAACGTTTAAGAGACACTTTAAAAATTTGGCCTATGTATTTGGAGGATGGAGATGAGACAGCGTTCGCCAACTCACATGATAACTTTGTCAGGAAAGAGAGTTAGGTGCAGTCCAAGTGAAATATGAATCGCTGTTTAGAAGATGGAAGCAGGAAACAGACCCTCAGGCCCAACTAAACCGCGACAGCCCCCGGTGACAGGCAGGACCCCGCCGTTGCGATGCGCACAGCTCAGAATCCCGGCCCGACTGCAGTCGGGAGAGCAGCCGCCCCCTGGCAGCCGAGCACCGCGTGCTGGTTTCCAGCTTCCCCGCCAGCTCCTGCGTCAGCGTGTCCTCTCTCTACACCGCGTCTGTATACACTTGTGCTCTTCTACACGTGTGAAACCCACAGTGCTGTTCTCAGCTCTAAAGTACGTTGGGTTTTTCTTCCCACAGGATTATGTGCTGGCCGTGGAGGCGTATCATTCGGTTATCAAGTATTACCCAGAGCAAGAGCCCCAGCTGCTCAGCGGCATCGGCCGGATTTCCCTGCAGGTACCTGTGCACGGTCAGACATGAGCCAGAAAGGCCTTATGATAGTTCTTTGCTCAGATGGGCGACTGTTTGCTTTTAATCATTTTAATATAAGAAAGACTGCAGAAAATATTCCAATTCAAATGTATGTGACCATGAAAAGGGTGGGTTCTTTCCAGGAGTTCTGGTTTGACTGTGGGAGGCCCTGCTGGCTTTTGTGCCTGTTGCTAAATGTGAACCCACAGAAAGTGTCATCACAGCCACACTGAAATGAGTTACTCTAGACATTGTCCTGCTGCAGTTACGAAAGCACTGACTAAACCGTGAGGAATCTCAGTTCAGCTTATCCCGTAATAGTCACTCGCTGATATTTTGCCTGAAATAACCCTTGAATCATGTTTGCTGGACAGACAAAGTCCAGACTGAACAGTGGTCTCAGTAATGCACAAAGCTCGGCAGGACCCCCTTTGCTAAGAATGTCCTTGAAGCTGGAATGCATTTTCCTGGAATATTTGGTGACAGGGAGGTCACAGGGAGTGATGAGTCCCGCCCACATCCCTGTCAATCCCACCCTTGCAGGCGGAGCACAGGGCAGCTTCTGCCCCTCTCACCCTCAGTCTTAGGTCACGTCCCAAACCTGGGCCAGGGAAAGGAGGCACGAGCAAGGGATGGCTGAGCGGGGAGAAGCAGCACAGACCTTCCACAGGCACCCACTCACGGTGAGCCAGGCCCTGCGCTGAGCATTTCACCTCACGGTGTGACTGGCTTGTTTTACAGATCAGCAAACTGAGGTCTCCTGGTTAAGTGATATCCAGCTACAGGAGGCCACATAGATAATGGGGAAGCTAGAATTTGAACAGGGCCTCTGTGAACTCAGGGCCTGCACTCTCAGCTAACAGCTGGTCCTCTCCCCCTCCACACAGTTGCTCACACATGCACTGACACACGTAGGCACACGTGCACACACCATCTCCTGCACGCCGCCTGCTTGTGGAAGTCCACATGGGACACCAGATAGTGTTGGAGGACAGCCCTGTCCATGGGCCCCTGTGGTGGGGCACAGCAGATGACTGTCACTGAATAACCCCAGGCAGGCACAGATGCGTGACGCGTGAGCTGCCACCATGGGCATCGGCTCCTGCCTGCACTGGGATGCTTGCAGCAACCCTCGTTACCTGTGTGAGAAAGCTCTGTGTGGCCAGGATCTCCAGGCTGCCTCATGTGTAACATTATCCCCTGGTTATCATAGTAAAATAGTACGCTGGGCCTGCTCAGATTCCTCACTACCCTGGAGACAATCTCGGAAATTTTATTTCAGAGTCATATTTTGCACAATTTGAGAAGTAGATGCTGAATTGCTTTTGCGTCTGGAAGTGCTTCTCCTTCCAGGGGGAGCCACTGGCTTGACCACAGCGAGGGCTCTGGCAATGAGGCTGGAGTCTCAGGAGGGAGGCTCAGCTTCCACAGTGTGATTTAAGCCCCATCTGGCGCACAGAATGTGCTAACCAGGCTGCAAGGGAAGCCCTCGGTGTTCGCTTTTCTGAGGACACGGGGAGGTGATAGCGGCGCTGTGGGCAAGAGCTTTTGCCAAAGGAGAATGGAGAAAAAGACGGAAGCACCCAGGCCGACTGGACTCACCGACGCCCCACACAAGTGCCTCGATCTGCATCTCTTGCAAATTATTTATCAGGCCTCGCTCATGGGTATTTTTACTGTTGCTGAAGAGCAAGGTCTCTGAATTCTGTTTTTCTAAAGGAAATGGAGATTGCAATACCTAGCTATTTGGGATATCTCTGAAGACGTTGTGACGTGGCTGCTACAGAACTTCTCAGACAGCCTCGCGCAGCTGACGACTGCATTGCCATCTGCACATACAGAAAACCCAGCCCCAGTAAGTTCCGGCTTGGGCAGGTCAGTGTGTTGTCTGAAGATGCTGGATCTGGGAAGAAGGATGAAGCAGGCAGGTTTTGCCCTTGAAGAACACAGCCATTTGTGGGAGTCAAGGCCCGAGAGCACCGTTGTGATCAGCAAGAACGACCACATATCAGCCCAGTGGATGCCCGAGCACACAGCAGACCCCCACCCAGTTCTGAAACACTCCTGGGTGCACCTGGACCCGCCCTCTCCAGACCTCTCCTGTGTTGGGACCTCTCCTCATCTCCGCTGGGTTCAGCAGAGGGTTGCAGAGGCGGGACCCTGTGTGTACACGTGGTGCTGAGCTGCCAGAGATCTCAGCACGTCCCTCGTCCCCCGTCCTGCGCGTAGCTGCCATTAGCCTTCCGGGAGTACACTCCACCCTGCCGTCTCTGGTCAGAGGTCCTGCTAGGGCCTTGTGGCCTGTCAGGTGAGCCCACACTTAAAGCTCACATTCAGAGCCCTAGCTAACCTTTTCCAGCCCAGTGTTCTTCGCCTCATGTCCTTAGTCCCACCAGACAGTTGATTTGCTGTTGCCCAAACGGGACCACACTTGCTGCTTTGACCTCTCGTGGGCTGTTCCTGCTGCTCAGAACTCCCTTCTCTTTCTGCTTGTGCAAACCCTGCCCATTCTTGAGGGCTCACTGGAAGGACTTCTCTAAAGTCACCCCAGCCCTCTCAGCAAGCTCTCCCTTCCCTCTTCCCCAAGGCATCTACGGGGGATAAAAGCACAGGGCTCAGGAGCTGGGGTTTGGAACAAGACAGACCCCGACCCTGGTCCAGCTGCTCAGGCTGGCGTGGCTCTGAGCAGTTTATCTCACCTTCATGGTGTCAGTCCCCCCATACAACCGCCTGCCGTGAGCAGTCATCATCGTCGTGTGTAGATGATAAAGTTTATCCATGTGAAATCCTCTGTGTCCTGCCTGGGACATGCCAGGAGCGCTGTAAGCGTAACTTGCTGTCTTTCCTATGTCTTGAGGATGGGTTGTGTTTGTTCCGTTCCTCACAGATCCAAGTGTAAGGGCGGCATTCCCAGGTCTCAGCAAAAGTACGTGTGCTCAGAATTGCCCTTGGAAGCCCCACTCCCACGGCGGGGCAGCCACCCCATAGAGTGACTCCAGTGCACACGTGGGCACGAGGCCCTCCAGGATGGGCTGTAGGAAGGGGCAAAAGCCGTGTCCCCACGCACGTATCCGGACACTCACACCCCACGCGCCAGCCTCAGAGCTCCTGCTGGCGCACCCTGCTCACCCCCAATGCCGCATCTCAGCACGGGATGGAGGACGCCACACGGAGTCAGATTGCAGTCGATGAGAGGTCAGTGGTGCAGGACAAGATGGGGTTGAACGGGGACTCGAGTCCAGCAGAAACGCCTGAACTAAATGTAGACAGAATTGACTGCGCTCTGTTTTAAGGAGAAAGAACTCAAATGGAATGAACACGTAAAAGCCAGCAGAGAGCTCTGTTCCGAAGGGACGTAGCGCTCAATGCCTACTTTAAACTCAGAGTGTTCAGCCACGGTTAGATTCTTGGAGAAACAGCCCTCAGAGAAGTCACTTTCAAGAAAGCACGTGTGTTTTCCAGCTCTTGCAGTGTTCTTCTCCCTGAAGCACCTCATCAGTACCTGTATCTTAATTATACGGTCTCTAAACTGGCTGTGTGTGAGCCATTCTGAAATGAGTTGGTGCCACTACGGAAGCAAAGAAGTATCACATGCACTGTCAGCACCTGTGTGCTGTGCTGTCAGAGGGGTAAATTTCATAAGAAATACGTATATTAGTAACTGTCCCTCAAATGGTAAAATAATACTGCAGGTGCTTAGAAAGTACGGGACGAGGTTTTGGTTGCAGTCAGTGGAATCCGCAGTGGCTGCTATAAGCAGAAAAAGTTTATTCACGGACAGTAGTACAGGGAATCTTCATGAGGGCCCAGAGACAGGCCATTCTAGAGCCACAAAGCCAGGATGCCGTAGCACGTCACAGGCCCCTCCAGCAAGAATAGCACTGCCAGCTCTGCCTGGCATCTCAGAGTCTTGTCCCCACCCTGCAGACCCAGGTCCCCCACACGGCCTCCTGCTTCCGCTGCCTCCTCAGGCCATGTCACCTTATGTGCGTGCATCTCTCTGGGGGCCCAGGCTGCGGGGTTGCCCCTCCTGCAAGAGTAGGAATGTAGGCCTCC
This sequence comes from Homo sapiens, assembly GCF_000001405.40. Classification (NCBI taxonomy): domain Eukaryota; kingdom Metazoa; phylum Chordata; class Mammalia; order Primates; family Hominidae; genus Homo; species Homo sapiens. The sequence goes on from NT_187522.1 coordinate 79,237, forward strand.
TGGTTCCTCCTTGAAAGGACCCCTGACAGGTGGGAAATGGACAGAATCGGGGAAGGCAGGGCCAGCAGCAGTCATGAGCATCCCTTACAAATCACATTGTAACATCTGAAGTCATGTAACACAAAGCTAAACGCGCGTGGAATAAGATTGATTTCGTTTCTCTGAGATTAGTTTCTACTCTTATGTGCATGGAGATACAAGGGAGGCTCGGCATTTTCTACAATCTTGAATGTTATCTCCAGACCAGGGAGGATTTGGGTTTCATCAGCATTGAAGGTGGGAGATGAGGTGGGCATCGCGTCGATGCTGAGTCTCGGGGAGAAAGCTAGGAAATGTCCCCAGCAGGTAGGGAAACGCTTGGCAAAGCACAAAGGCAGAGGGACCCACATAGCTGGGCCCATTCTGCTCACGCCCTGGCACTACTGCAAGAACTGTGGTTTTCCGGGTCAACCCTAGCGAGGAGGGAGCACAAGCAGAGCTTCTCTGCGGAGAAGGCAGATTTCCAGCTCCTAAGAACACCCTGTTCCACAAGGAAGCTGACGTGCCCCTCCCCAGGGACCCACGCCAAAAGGCCATTCTTCCAGGCCAGCGTCCCAGGGCGCTGCTGTGCGTGGTTCGCAGCCCCGGCAAACGATGGCCTGCACTGCGTGCTGTCCGCCCTGTTCCTGCTGGACTCTCTGCACTGTGTCCTGATCACCCTCTCAGCTGATAGTGGGCACTGCAGTGTGAATCTTCTCATGGACAACAGACCAATCCTGCCTCCACCAGTGCCGTCGCCAAATCAGTAACACAGAGCAACCTCAAACATTTCTGAATGTTTAGGTCATCTAATACTTGGCAAAAGAGTGGGCCGAACACCTCCACCCTCAGCTTTCTCTTCTGTTTGTGTGTGAGTGTGTGTAGCAGAGTCTGAGAAAGATACATACAGCCACCTTCCTTTTCTGAGCTTGGGAAAATTTGAACAAGAGCACTGAAATGCAAACACTAATCAAAAAGGAAGTATTTTCCATTTTAATTCTAAAGAGTGGAAATAGAAAAAAATGATTTTGCTAAAACAAAATATGCAGACACCTTTGGGAAAACGTGCTATAAAGGAACCATGCTAACTCCAGAGATGACCCAGCCGGACAGAGGTGAAAGGGGTGGACGGACAGCAAGGTTCTAGATGATTCCACACAGTTGGGCTGAGAACACTGTCACCGCACCTCCTCTTTGTGTTTAAAATTTTGCATTGAATGTAGGTGCCTCTGAAATATGCGAGCTAAAAATAGGAAGCTCACTCACTGACCACACCAACAGTTGCCCGGTCACACGAGAAGATACACTGGCGAATACAAGGATGGCACAGATGCCCTCACTTTGTGTTAGGCCTCCGAGGAGCTGACTTTCAATTTTAATATTTCAAAACGTATTCTACTTTTGAATAGCAATCCTTATTCTTTCCAAGAAATTCATAGCATAATTCTGGGCACTGAGCAAAGGGTCACCTGTTCGGTTTGTGTGCTGTTCACATTCCAGCTGGAAACCCTGGCTCAAATTACAGAATTGTACTTGGGGTTTAATGCCTGCATATAAGGGAGGATCCATCTCCCCCCTCGGCCTCGTCCCGCAGGCAGAACTATCATAGCCACGTTCCCTGCCAACTGTCAGCGCACCCGCCAGACAGGTGACAGCCGTGTTTCAAAACTCACATGCCTGCTGTGATCATTTCCACAGTCCCTTCATCTTCATCACACAGAGCCTCCTTTAGAGCACCAGGGCCTCCACACAGCAAGGGGGCTGGGGGTTAGGAGGAGAGAGAATGGGGCCCAGTGGGAATTTCCAGTTCTGAAGGAAATCTGTGTTGTAAGCAAGATTGAAGTCATTTGTATTCCAGAGGAGTTTCTCACATAATCTAAATTAAGGAGGGGCAGAAGCAACTGATCTTCAAACAGAAGAAGCATTATATTCATACTTCTTAGAATTACTTCACTCCAACTTAGATTCCACCTCAGAATCTCTTGACTTGGGTCTTAGAGGGTCCTCACTGGGACTTGGGACTGAGAGGGTCCTCACTTGGACTTGGGTCTGAGAGGATCCTCACTTGGACTGGGAAAGTAGCTGTGGTGCGCAGGTGCAAGTCCAGCAGCCAAGCACAGACGAGGGGCCTGTGCTTGGCATTGGGGCAGCTGAGCGCAGGGTGGTTCTGCAGTGTCTGTGGCCAGTCCTAGGCCTCGGTGTCCTGGACCAAAGGTCAGAGCCCAAGGTGATCAGGCAGGAGAAAGCCTCAGCCACTGCAGGAGTGGTGGGAAGTTGGGATAAACCAGCCACCCCAGGCAGGACGAAGGGGGACGGGATGCAGGACCACTCACCGCTATGGCTGAGAGGACCTCAGCAAGAACCAAGGTCACCTCTGACCGAGTTCCCAGAGAGCAGGAACCCAGGGCAGGGTGGGGAGACGCTGAGGTGGAAGAAGGGAAGGAAGGGCCAGGGAAGCGCTGTGAAGCTGGGAAAGACTTGAGCACGTTTTACAGAGGGGCACGACCCCAGGCTCCAGGAGGGGTGCGGGCACCTTGACCGTCTCGACGAGGAGGGTGGTTTTACGCACACAGCCACGTACCAGCATCCCTCAGGTTGTACGATCTGAAGACATGCAGGTTCCTGTACATCAGCCATAGCTCAACAGAGACCTTCAAATAGAAAAAGAAGAGACTGACTTCTGGCTGCCAGCCTGAGCCGTGGAGTGTGCTGGCTACAGTCAGGGAAAGAGTGGGGAGAGCGTCCTCCAGCCCCTGCCACCCTGTGAGGCCTCATCATGCTGATGTGACACCGAAGTGCAAGCAAAAAGAAAATGTAGGTAAGTGGGATTTCACCAAAACTAAAAACTGTTGTGCTTTAAAGGACACCATAAAGAAAAAGTAAAAAGACAACCTATGGCATGGGAGACATTGCTTGCAAATCCCGTATCTGATAAGAGACTTACATCCAGAATATATGAAGAACTCTTACAGCTGCTAAATTAAAAACGATTCATGGCACTAGCATGCAGCAGGGGAGAGACTGGACTCAACTCTGACTTCACGGAGGACAGGTGGGAACTGACAACCAGGGACCAGGGTCAGGGTCAGCGTCCCTGGTTGGAAAATCACCCAGAGGAAGCTTCAAGAAGGGGTTTCTGGCCAAGCAGACTTGATAGGATCGTTGCTGACAGCCGGCCAGGGTGGTAGGATCTCCAGGTGCTAAGACACCGAGGGCGGGGACTTTTCTTAAACTGACTTAGCAGGATTCTTGCTCACACTGGATTCTACAAGGACAGAGAAGGAAGGCAAGGTCAAGCTTGTCTGGTAGAGGAGGCTTCTGCACGGATGCAGCCTAATTTATGCATTGACAGCCTGCCTGGTTCCCAGCAGGCCCTCGGGTTCTGCAGAGAGAGCAGGTGAGGGGGGGTCAGGGGAAAGGAGAGCACCCCTGGGGCCGGCTCTGCTGTGCTCACGCCGGGACGGGAAGAGGAGCTGGTGAAGGAGAACTCAAGAAAAACATGGAAGAGAAGCTAGGGTACTCTGAAATAGATCGCATCTTTCTTTTATTCGTTTATGTACATTAGCCTGGGGGGATTTGCCCAGTTGGAATGGAACAGTTTTTCTGATAAGCTTTAAAATACAAGAATGTTTTATAACATAAAAATTTAGACTAAAGTTTTCCGTGTTGGTTTTTGGGTAGGGTTTTTCTGGTGGGTTTTTTTGTCTGTTTTTGAGACGAGGCCTCGCTCTGTCACCCACACTGGAGTGCAGAGGCGCAAATGCAGCTCACTGCAGCCTTGACCTCCTGGGCTCAAGCAATCCTCCCGCCTCAGCCTCCCGAGTAGCTGGGAACAGGAATGCACCACCATGCCCAGCTAAGTTTTTTGTAGAGAGGGGGTCTTGCCATGTTGCCCAGGCTGGTCTCAAACTCCTGGCCTCAAGCAATCCTCCTGCCTCTGCCTCCCAAAGTGCTGGGATTACAGGCATGAGCCACTGGGCCCAGCTGAAATGAGTTTTCTGTATCAATTGCAGACCTATGCTTCTGTGACTAAAGTTGATCAGTGGTAAATATGAAAAGAACTGGGTTTTCTAGCTGACTACAGATTTAATATCATCTAGCAACCTATGTGGCTGTTAACATAGCTGTTCTGTCTTTGGATGGTTTAAAATCATCTGACTCCCACACCACAGAGAAGAATCATTCTTGCCTTCCTCTCCAGTCAACAGCTCACAGCCATGGACTGCAGGACACTCCGCCTTGAGAACACTTTAAAATGGCCATTGCCCATCTGTAATGGCTTCCGTGCCACCAAGGTGATGAGGAATCCCAAAACTGTGACAGAGAAGCAGGTGAAGGAGCTGAGAACTGGAGCTCTCCCCCACCCCTCAGTGCCTGTATTAGTTGGGGCTCTCTAGAGGGACAGGACTCATAGAATAGATGAATCTATGAAGGGGAGTTTATTAGGAGAATTGACTCTCGATCACAAGGTGAGGTCCCACAATAGCTGAGGAGCAAGGAAGCCAGTCCAAGTCCCAGAACCTCGGCAAGTCTGCTCTTTCCAACTTCTGCCTGCTTTATTCTGGCTGTGATGGCAGCTGAAGAGATGGTGCCTACCCAGATTAAGGGCGGGTCGGCCTCCCCCAGCCCACTGACTCAAGTGTTCATCTCCTTTGGCAACACCCTCACAGACACACCCAGGATCAATACTTTGCATCCTTCAATTAAATTGACACTCAGTATTAACCTTGACAGCGCCCAAGGAGGGGAGGGCCAGACCCAGCGCACAGTTCCAGTTTCTGCCACGGAAACACTGACCATGTGTTGCTCTTAAGGTCGGAGCTCCAGGGCGGCGTTTCCCCGGGTTTCTGCGTTTATAAGTGATGTTAGTATCTGGTTTGCGTGTGCACAGGTGACATCTCAAAAGGATATGGTGGCTGTTTTCTGTCTTCATATAAGTTAGAAGCTTGCTTTCTCTCTCTCTGGAAAACTTGAGTAATGTGGAATGATCTATTCCCTGAAGGTTTGAGTATTCACCTAAGAATTGCCTTTGCTGAGCACATGAGGTGTGCTGTGTGCTTTTCCTAATTTATTATTATGAATCTGCCTTAGTGTTGTGTGCCTGAGGATTTTTCTGTGTTTCTGGGAACCATTTTGGTAACTGAGAGTTTTCTAGAAAGCCACCTGTTTGGTCCCTGTTTTCTCGTGGATTCGCACAGAGTAAAAGACAGTGCTCTTACCATTATTTCCATTTCCTTGTTCTGCCTGTAGCTATTTCTACTTTTACATTTCTGTTTATGCTTCCTTTTTCTGGATTAGTTTATACACTGTTTTTTGTCTTTTTCTTTGTGAGACAGGATCTTGCTCTGTCTGCCAGGCTGGAGTGCAGTGGCACAGGTATGATTCACTGCAGAACTCCTGGGCTCAAGAGATTCACCTGCCTTAGCCTCTCATGTAGCTGGGGACCACAGTGCTTACGGCCACACCTGGTGCTTACAGCCACACCTGGCTAATTTTCTTTTCTTTTTTAATGGAGACAAGGTCTCACTTTGTTGCCCGGTCTGGTCTTGAACTCCTGAAATTCAGCGATCCTCCCACCTCGGCCTCCCAAAGGGCTGAGATTACAGGTGTGAGCCACCATGCCCAGCCACTGTATTTCCTTTTTAATAGTGTCTTTTACTGATTTGTTTTCTACATATTCTGGAATACTTTTAATTGCATTTTTATGTTTAATTTTTTCAGTTGCTCCTAACTTTTAGAAATCGGTAGGATTTTGTATCCTAATTACATTTTAATAATTCTGAAAATGTCAAGTTACTTTCTAATCATCAGGAAAGTCAGTGGGTAGCAAAGAATATCCCAAGATTTCTCTGTTATCTTCCTCTGAGACATTGAGTAAAGTCCCATGCCAGCCTCAGGAGGCCTTGCAGTGCGGAGGATCAGCACACGGTCTGGGCGTTGGACAGCCTGGGTGTTGACCACAGTGTTCTGTGTTAGCTGTGTGACCTCAGAAAATTGTCTCATCTTTCCAAGCCCGACGACTTCATCTAGAAAGCGAAGCTAGCGACAGCATCTGCATCCCAGGCTGTCGCGAGGGTCAGGCGAGCTGTGCTTGTAAGCGCTTGCCACGGCCGCCGGCACACGTTAATCTTGATCGGTCTTGATGATGGGCTGTAATCATCTTCAGTTCAGTGTCTCACACGGTCCTGTTAGACAGGAGATGCAGGCGTTCGAGCTGAGGGCCGCGTCACGGAGCCCATGCTGCCTTCGGTTTCTTTTTAGTCCGCAAGTGGGAAATCGATAGTAGTGGACTTCAAACGGCTTCGGACTGTGCAGACGACGGGCAGCGATGGACAGATGCCATTCAGTGTGTGGTGTGTGTGCACGCCTGTGTTTTCTCTTGTTTCATTCTGTTTTTTCTTCCTCCTCGTATGGTATTTCTTTTGTGGGATAACAGCAACAGTTGTGAAGGGCCTGAGATGTTATCCTGTTTCCAAGCTGTGGAGTTAGCTGCCACTTTCATGGATGCTGGCAAAAAATGTAAGATTCCTACGTTAGAGAGGAAGGCTATTTATTACACAGCAACAGCAGTACAGCCAGAGTGGCATTCTTCCCACCAGCCACGGGGCCCTGATTCCTCAGGGTCTTCACCGAGGGCCTCATGAGGCCTGCAGTGGGCTGTGTGGCTGGAGAGGAATCCTGAACTTAGAACACCCAAATCCTTGCTACTGGGAGGCGAGCCTGCCTGCCCTTTGCCCCAGAGGGATGCAGTTTAGCTTACAAGGCTGTCCTCTAAACAGGCATCCTTGTGTAAATGCTTTGAACAAAGCCTTGTCACTGTCTGTGCTTGGAAGACATGCAGAAACATGACACCCATGGAGAACCATCTCCCCACCAGTCATCTGAGAAGTTAGCAGGCTTGTTTTAATGCTGGACAGATGCTTGGCGTGGACAGTCTAAGAGTTAACTAGGCTGCTCAGTATGATAGTGATGGGTGCCCCAGCCCTCCTCATGGAGGTGAGCCGCGCGCATTCAGCTTGTTTCTCATCGAGACAGAGGACAGCATTCTGTTAAGTTTCTGCTGCTGCCATGATAACAGAGCTCGCTGTCACATTCTGGCTCCCGCAGGCTGTGCCCCGGACACAAAGCAACTCTGTCTTTACCCTCGTGAGCGCGGCTTGGGCCATAATAGGACTTTTCTTTCATTTGTATCTATTTCTTATTGTAAGCCTTAGATCATTTATTCCCTTCCTTACACTTCTAGAGGTGAAAGAAAACCCAAGTCTGCCTTTGTAAAACCAAGCTGTGGCCTCAGGAGTCAGGGCTGGGGCACTCAGCCTTCCACCCCCCAGGCCTCCTCTGCCACAGGCCTGCTGCATCCGGCTGCATTTCAGTCGGGCAGCCGGTGGGTTTCCTGACATGCGTGATAAGAGTGGGTTTGAGTTTGGTTTGGCTTGTTTTTTACAGTTGAATTCTATATTATTTGGTCAAAATATTACTTTGCAATTTGCAAATGTGGTGGCACCTACCATTTTACTAGCCACAAGTAACTCATAAGTTGACGTAGGACCTGCTCATATTATACCAATATTTTAAGTATTTTATGTTTCATCTTATTAGTTATTCATTTTATTTTATCTAATGCTCTGCCAGAATTCATTCCAAAAGGTAAAAATTACTAAACTATAAGACTCTTAAATAAGGCGTGTATATTAGCAACTTAGTTTCTGACATATAGAACATTAACATTCCACTGTATCTTAAATGTCTTTTGCCTTTTTATTAAAAAATGATTAAATGGTTACTGAAGTTTTCCTCTGCCTGACATATAAATGTCTTCATATTCTAACATGATATTAGGGAACTAAATATATGAGTATAGACTTAATATTTCTTTTGTCAACTAAACTGACTAAATTTTGTCAAAGCAGATTGGAGACATAAAAACAGCTGAAAAGTATTTTCAAGACGTTGAGAAAGTAACACAGAAATTAGATGGACTACAGGGTAAAATCATGGTTTTGATGAACAGGTAAATATTTTAAAACTAAATATATGTTTTCTCAAATTTCCCAGAGGCGTTCAAGCCCCACTTACTGAGTTGGAAAGCTCCCTAGAGAAGGCGCTTCTCCCTGTATCTCCTCTTGCCCTGTGTCTCTCAGAGCGGAGACCCAAGGAGTATACAGGTGTTTTCTTGAATCGCAGTGATGTTCTTTTAGTCACAGAAGCTGATTTTTAAGGAGCTATTCCCCCTTGTTCTTCAGAGAAGCGCTTGTATTGCCCCCGTTTTCAGCGTATGTGTGTGTAAAGGTCACCATTGCTGGCGTAGCGGCCGTTCTGGATCCTGTGCTCTGGTGTTCTGTGTCTGGATCCCGTGCTCTGGTGTTCTGTGTCTGGATCCCGTGCTCTGGTGTTCTGTGGTAGAACGCACAGCGTCGTGCGAGTGCACGTTCGTGAGGAGGAAACACGCCTTGGACAAAGCCTGCAGCCAGGATCAGAAAGCGTAAATAAAGCAGGTGTCCGCTTTTAGCAGGAAGTCATTTAGGTGAAGTTACTCTATCTCAATTAACAAAAACTAGAGTGGCTTGGCCGGGTGCAGTGGCTCATGCCTGTAATCTCAGCACTTTGGGAAGCTGAGGCACGTAGATCACTTGAGGTCAGGAGTTTGAGGCCAGCCTGGCCAACATGGTGAAACCCCATCTCTACTAAAAATACAAAAAATTAGCCAGGCGTGGTGGCAGTCGCCTGTAATCCCAGCTACTTGGGAGGCTGAGGCAGGAGAGTTGCTTGAATCCAGGAGGCGGAGGTTGCGGTGAGCCGAGATCGTGCCACTGCACTACAGCCTGGGCAACGAGAGCAAAACTCCATCTAAAAAATAAAAATAAATAAAAACTAGAGTGGCTTTAATGTGCGAGCCTGAATGCAAAACGCAGCTCACCGCCTCTACCTGGAGATCAGGAACCCCGGGCCACACAGGGCCATACGCTGGGTCTCTGTGGGATCCAAAGCCCCTGTGGGTTGTGTTGGGGGACAGCAGCTCCTGGGCTTTCCCCGCTAACTGCCACCGTTGCTTGTGTTACAGCGCGTTCCTTCACCTCGGGCAGAATAACTTTGCAGAAGCCCACAGGTTCTTCACAGAGATCTTAAGGATGGATCCAAGAAACGCAGTGGTAAGATCCCCAAGCTGCAGGATCCTCCATCCTCTGCCTTTCACAGACGCTAGAAACATACACCCACACACGTCTCAGCAGGGGCCTGCGCTCTCTCTCTCCAGTCCACCAGCTCCAGGCAGTGGCTGTGGCCCTTAGGGGAAGTGACCCAACAGGGCCACCTAGGCTCTGCCCAGCAGCTCTGCACCACCCCCAGGCCCCTAACACGGCCCAGCACGCAGCCTGGAATGGGCGGGCGTCTGTCCTGGTTGTGTGGGCCAACCCTGGGCGTGTGCTCCTCCCTAGGCCAACAACAACGCTGCCGTGTGTCTGCTCTACCTGGGCAAGCTCAAGGACTCCCTGCGGCAGCTGGAGGCCATGGTCCAGCAGGACCCCAGGCACTACCTGCACGAGAGCGTGCTCTTCAACCTGACCACCATGTACGAGCTGGAGTCCTCACGGAGCATGCAGAAGAAACAGGCCCTGCTGGAGGCTGTCGCCGGCAAGGAGGGGGACAGCTTCAACACACAGTGCCTCAAGCTGGCCTAGCTGCCTCCAACACACTACGTCAGAAGGACCCGGGTCTTTGAAACTGTGTCTTGAAGCTAATGTATTAATGTGACATGGAGGAACTCAATAAAACTCCTGCTTCACTGGTGTCTGCTGCGTGTCTTCTTGGTCCCAAGCCACGGCCCAGCCCAGGACTTCCCCGCAGTTGGTCGGCGTTCAGCCACGCAGTCCCTGCAGCTGGGTCACTGTTCATGAATGCAAGGGGCAGGCGTGCTGGGAGGACACAGCTCGTAGACAGGAAATCTGGAGTCAGCCTCGGGGCCTCTGTTCTGGAGGCCAATCCTGCTTTGCTCGTTCCTTCTGGACATCCTCAGAGAAAAGCTGGGAGGTGTGGAGACCCTCTCGCCGTGCACCTGCACGTACAGGGAGATTTACAACAGGGAAGACACCCCCCACAGATCGCCGCTCATGCTCCTCTTGCCCTCCCCACACACCCAAAACTAAGTGCGTTGGTCTTACCCATCCGAGTCTCCTCCAGCCTGATGCCAGCCAAACGACCCCTGCCAGCCTGGCGGTGGAGGAGAGGCCATCACTGTTTCTCCCATAGTTTATACGTCCACGTGGAGAGTGAGCTGAGTGGAACAGGAAGCACGACGCATAATGAAGCACAGGAAGAGCGCGTAAAACGCAGGCAGGCAGGGGCTGGGGGTGGTTTTGAAGCCAGACACGTGTTTTCATGTGTTCTCTCATGCCTGAAAGGCCTTTTGCCCTTACGTTTACACAGTTATTCCTGCTTTTGAAGAACTTAAAGTACCTGAAAATGTCTTCACTTTACGAAAGAACTCTGCCAAGGGTTCTCTAAATATCTAGCTTTGTGGATAGTTTTAAATATAATTCATTTTACAGACTGTGATATAAACATTTGCACAAAGCGAAGCCATATTTCTGTTAATTTTTGTAATAGAGTAGAAACATACAAACACTGCATCTACCAGACAGTCTCAGCCCATTTGCTGACATCTAGATTAATTATGCATTAAAAGAAAAGAAAAAAGAGGTGAGACAGCCAAAAGGACTGTTGGACACCAAGGAGGTTTCAAGATCTTTCTCTTCAAAAAGAGAACTGAAACTATTGTTAAGCCCAGAAAGATGAAGATGTAATTAGAAGCCCTCCACCTTGAGGGTCTTCCTTCAAATGTGACTTCAGGGATGAAGTGTAAGGCTCTTCCTCTGCTCCAACCTGGCACCTTACTGCAGGCATCTTACAGGATTTGCCAGAGGATTATGGAGCCCGTCCTTTACAGGCTCGGGGCTCAGAGCTGTCCCCGGCCAGTTGTGCGGGAAAGCAGACAGCAGTGCCCAGGCTCCAGCTAGACATGAGCCCGGCAAATCAGAAACAGAGATCAAAGTTCCCTAGTAAGCTGGTAAGCCTAAATCCACCCTCCCTCCCAAGCCCCACCCCCATGCTGCTGGCATGAGGCCAGGCCAGGTGACAGTATCATTGCCTCGTTTCTTGCCTGGATTATTTCTTCCTGGTTTTTTTGTTTTTTTTTTTTTTTTTTTTTTTGAGACAGGATCTTACTCTGTCATCCATCCAGGCTGAAGTGCAGTGGTGCAAACATGGTTCACTCCAGCCTCAACCTCCTGGGATCAAACGATTCCCCACTCTCAGCCTCCTGAGTAGCTAGGACCACAAGTGTGCTCCACCACGCCCAGATTTTTTTTATTTTTATAAAGATGGGATCTCACTATGTTGCCCAGGCCAGTCCCTAACTCCTGGCCTCAAGTGATCCTCCCACCTCGGCCTCCCAAAGTGCTGGGGTTACAGGTGTGAGCCATGGTGTCCAGCTAATTTTTTTTTCCTACTGCCTGTATGATTGCAGAATTTTTTGTTTTGTTTTGCTAGAAGAGGAAAACGGTGCTGTGAGTGTCTATAACGTCTGGGACAATTGTAGCTTATCTAGTTTACACTTAGCTTTTCTTTATGTTAAAAATAAATTATACATCCCAGAAATCTTTTCTAGAGCCAATTGAAGTGAATGGCTAACGATCAGAAAGCTTATTTTCTAACTGGAAAATGGGAACTCGCTGAGTTGATGATGGGCTCACAACTGTGGAAATGCCCACCCTGGAATGCACAGTGGAGAATGAAGAAGCCAGTAACCCTGATGGCATCGTTACCGAATGGCCAGGGTGTGCCAGGCGGCAAGGGTGGATTTGCTCCCTGAATGATCCATCCAGCTGAATCTTGAGTCATTCCGCGTTTGCCACGAGGGGCAGTGTTAGATCAGTGGTCCTCAAAGTGGGGTCCCCGAAGCAGCAGCACCAGGTTCTCCTGGGAACTTGACGGAAATGCACATCCTCAGCCACATCCTCTGATCACAGAGGAGTCAACTGCTGGGGCCTGGGCTGGGCCGGCCCGACAGTGTCGTCTGCACCGCCCTCCAGGAGCTTCTGGTGCTCCTGCAGGTGTGAGAACGCATGTCAGACGCCGGAGGCCACAGACAGAATTCCAGTTACACAGCAGGCGTTGGAGCCCATGGGCATCGCCATCCTGCCTTACACTGCTGGCCTCTTCTATGCCCCCTCGAGGATTGTGCCCCCACTTGTTCTCTCTGCCTGGACCCCTCCTGGCATGCACCTTCCTAGTCCCTATTCAGTGTCACCCCCTGAAGCCTGCCCTCAACCCCAGGACAGTGCAGCCCCGTCCACACTCCCCTTACCTCTTGTCCTGGACCCACACAGGCTCCGCAGCACCTGCTCCTGGCACGGCCCCACAGTTGCAGTACTTGGGCTGGAGCTGCCGCCATGAGGTCCTCCTTCAAACACCCAGTTCCAGCGTTCCCCGGGAAGCTTCCCATGCCATCTTGTCACGTCTTGCACCCAGCACCGAGGGTGAGGCCCGGCAAAGCAGAGCTGCAGGGGCTCAGCTGTGTACACCACAGTTCTTGAGACGCCCACCTGTGTGTCCTCCCCGATCCTGCTCCACAGGTCCAGGCCCAGGCCCAGAGGTAGCCCCTGCGTTCCCGTGGCTTCAGGCACACGTGTGCAGACATGACGCCGAGAACACCGGCTTTGCCACCAAGGACAGAAGACAGTCTGCCCCACCCGGGGTCACCTGCAGGTCCTGCTCTGACCAGGGTCCAGGCCCTGATTCCGGGGATGCGACAGCACCCAGAATGTCCTGCCTTGTGTGGCACGTGGGACCGGGGACTCGGGCCCCAGGGCTCCCAACCCTGGCTGTGGAGAGTGGGTGGCTCCGCTGCTGGTCGGGGGCACTGTGTGGGCAGACAGCGTGCCAGTGGCCACAGGATGTCCTGACAGCAGAGGCGCTAAACACTCCAGGAGCGCCTCAGCCCCAAGCTCTGGTTCCACCCCTTGCGGGTGAGGGAGGCCCAATGACAGCCAGACTCCATCAGTTCAGAGGCAGGGGCTAGAGATGGATTTAATTCAACTTAAAAAGAAATACAAGAATGGACCTTTTCTGCAGTCCTGAGGGAGTGGACAGGTTGCGTGCGTGCTCTGACGGTGGGATCCAGACCCCCTCCTCTCCTGCGTTGAAGGTGCCACCGGGCCTCATCCCCAGCCACATCACATCCTGAGCCTCTTACAGGCAGGCCCCGAGGTCCTTTCACCTTTCTCTTCTCTCCAGTGCTTGGTGCATTTTCAAACTCAGTACCTTTCTTTTGAATAAATGAGCAAGAATAAACCCGGTGCTGCTTGCCGAGCTCCTCTCCCTGGGCGGGGAACTAAAGCAAAACCACGCTGGATGGGGTCCCAAACACCCTAAGAAGGCCGAGCTCCTGCCGCTCTCCAGCACGCGCACCGAAGACCGGAGGGAGGGTCTGTCGCTCTCCTGCAGGAGCACGAGTGGAGGGAGGGCCTGCGGCGCTCCAGCAGGAGCATGAGGAGTGGAGGGAGGGCCTGTCACTCTCCAGCACGCACACCGAGGAGTGGAGGGAGAGCCTGTCGCTCTCCAGCAGAAGCACCAAGGATTGGAGGGAGGGCCTGTCGCTCTCCAGCAGGAGCACGAGGAGTGGACTGCCGGCCCGTCACTCTCCAGCACGTGCACCACGGAGTGGAGAGAGAGCCTGTCACTCCAGAAGGAGCACCAGGAGTGGACTGCGGACCCGTCACTATCCAGCACGTGCACCAAGGAGTGGAGGGAGGGCCCCTTGCTCTCCAGCAAAAGCACCAAGGATCGGAAGTAGGGCCTGTCGCTCTCCAGCACGTCCCCCCCCGGCAGTGGAGGGAGGGCCCGTCGCTCTCCAGCATGAGCACCCAGAGATGGAGGAAGGGTCAGCCATTTGTCAGGCTCTGCGTGTGAAAAGCTGTGATTTCATTTCTTATCAGTTATTACTGTCACTATCACTCAGGATGAAATTGGCCTCACCCGCTCAGGAGCAATGCTGCCTTCTCCCTGTCCTCCTCCTGGATTGTTGAGGAAAAAGCCAGACTAACCTGTTCCACACCTTGGCATCAGTTGCATAAATGCTATCTCAGCATGTTCTAGAACACAGTACTGTTTAAACAACGTTCTGGGGGTAACCAAGTTTATAACTTGCAGACCCGATGGCCGTAAAGCATGGGGTGGGGGGGTGCCTGCCTGCATTGCAGCTGTCAGAGCTGCACAGAGCCTGCGACACCCAGCCATGGCTTCTGCCCACCAGGCCACGTCCCTCCGCTCCTCTGAATCCTTCCAGTTCTTCTTAGGCCACTTAAACGCCACCGTCTCCACGAAGTCCTGTCGGATCACCCTCATAGGAAGTGACAAACCACGTTTTGAACCCCTCTCCCCACCCAGCAAGCCCCTAGCCCGCGAGCATAGGATTTCCTTTCTAGAACACGTGTTCTGTGAAGGGCCAGAGGCAATATTTGAGGCCTCGTGGGCCACATGCTGTCCCTGTTGCATATCCTTTTTTTTGTTTGGTTTGGTAAACTGCTTAAGCTGGCAGAACAACAGAACCCGCACATTCTCCACGCAGCCCAGCGCCCTTGGCCATGCAGGGCTGTGCCTTCTGCCAGCTCTGGAGGCCCAGGGGCTGGCATGGGCCTCCCGTCCTGAGCCCCCCATGTACATTGCACCCATACTGGGAACGCCCCCAGGATCTGCTGCGAGACCCCCAAGGACCAGCTTCTGCAGTCCTGGAAGGGCTCTCCTGACCCCCAAGTCCGCCATCTTCTGATGGTGGCAGGTGGGCACAGTCACTGGCTGAGCGACCAAGGGTCAGTGAGATTACTAGGCCGGCGCTGCACCCAACTGAAATGAACTCACGTGTCCTCACAACTCCTAGCAGCAGATGCTGTCAGCCTCGCATCCTACAGGAAAGGAACCATCGCCAAAAGACGCTGAGGAACATCCCGAGGGTCACAGGGACAGTGCAGAGCCAGGACCAGCCCGGCCCATGGTCCCCCAGCGTGCACCACCTGGCCCGGCACTGTGTGCTCAGCCATGAGGACTGGGAAGAGTCCTGCCCACAGCTCAAGTGTCTACACCGCACTGCCATCCAGGCTGTGAGCCGCTGCTGAGCATGGGGAATGTGGCTGCTGCAGAGACGTTATGAAACACTTCTAAAAGAATGTAAAAGATCTCATTAATAATTTTGAGTACCTGTTAAAATGATAGTAATTTTGGATCTAGTAGATTAAATAAAACATATTATTAAAATTAAGATGACCTTTGAACATTTTTAACGTGGCTACTAGAAAACTTTAAGTTACGTATGTGGCGCCCATTTGTGGCTCCCATTCTGTTTCTGTTGGATGGTGCCAAAGAAACCAACACGTAAAAGCCCCTGCAGAGGAGCCGCTGCTTTGCCAATGGTTAGTGGTCAGTGTGGGTTCTGCCCTCTGGGTTCCTGGCAACCAGGGCTGCTCTCTGAGGGCTGAGGTTGCCACGGGCTAGGCAGATACTGGCCCTGCAGCCCTCACTCTCCGGAGGGCGTGGGGCATGGGATGGGATGTTTCAGAGGACGTGGGGCATGATGGGACGGGAAGTTTCAGTGGGTGTGGGGCATGATGGGACGGGGTGTTCCGGAGGGCGTGGGGCATGATGGGACGGGATGTTTACTCTGCTCCATGGCCTTACAGTGTTAAGTGTAAGTCAGCATTGAAAGCAGTTTTCCCTGGAACATAGAATTCTAGTTGATGCGGATCCAGAACCACGGAGGGTCCTACAACTGCTAGGCTGAAGGCTGACTTACCAAAGGCCACAGAGCATCTCTCCCCCAGCAGGTTCCTGTGGCACTTGCATGTGTGTCTTTTTCTTTTTCCCCCAAATAATTTTCCAGTTTTATTCTTTTCCTTTGACATAGAAGAACACAATTACCGAGAGAAGAAAAGGAAGGCGAGGGTGACTGCGCGCCTCCCCATCCCCACCCCCATTCCCACACGGCTCATTTCAACTCTGGGAGGGTTTACAGGTAAGAATGTGAAAATCAGAAACGTCAGGTAACTTTTCCAAGGACCCACAGTTTAAAGCGGGAGAGAGGGAGGGATTCCAATCCAAATCTAACAGTGAGGCTCATGGTGGTGCCACGATCTGTGTTGCCGTTTCACACACTGCATATTGCTTTGCAGTGGAGAGCTGAATCCACAGGCAGGGCCGGACCCACCAATGGGCTGCCGTGGATAGGCTTTGGGCTCCAGCACCACACACATGGCCACACGCTTACACATACAACACACACATGCACTCACACACGGAGGACCGTGTTCACCTGCGTCTAGGTCCTTTCCACCTCGAGGTTTACCTTTATTGGACCTGGAACCCGATTACGGGCAGTCTGTTCCCGCGTCGCCCACCCTCGTCCGTGGGAGAAGTGCCATCTCCGGGACCGTGTTAGGCGTCCAGCACAGCCAGCCAGGCTCTCCAGCCTCACTCCCTCCACCCCAGGGCCCCGAGGCTCTGCCCACCGAGATGACACCCTGCGACCTCCACCCTGGCTCCTTCTGGTCACCCTGACACCCACTCCTCAAATGCCCACAGTGAGCCTGGGGTCCTGCTGCCTGTGGAGTGGACCCAGTGCGTCTCCCTAAAGCCTCCAGCTGGCTTGGCCTTTGTCTCAGCCTCCACCTGCTTCCCGGGGTCAGGGAACCCTGCCAGCTCCCTGGGCGTGCTGAGCTGGACAGTCAGCGAACTGCATCCCTGAACCCTCGCCCACTGCTCCAGGAAACTCACCCACCCTCAGGGCTGCTGGAATTCACATCCGATGGGTGGAGTTTATTCTCTGCACCCCAGGGCCCCCCACACATGTCAGGAGGAAGAGCTGCCCTGGCACCATGGGTAGACTGCAGGGAGACCCCAGGATGCGGGGAAACCCCAGGATATGGGGAGACCCCAGGATGCGGGGAAACCCCAGGATATGGGGAGACCCCAGGATGCGGGGAGACCCCAGGATGTGGGGAGACCCCAGGCTGTGAGAAGGCCCCAGGCTGCAGGGAGACCCCAGGATATGGGAGACCCCAGGATGCGGGAAGACCCCAGCATATGAGAAGGCCCCAGGCTGCAGGGAGACCCCAGGATATGGGGAGAAGCCAGACTGCAGGGAGACCCCAGGATGCAGGGGAGACTCCAGGCTGTGAGAAGGCTCCAAGCTATGGGAAGACACCAGGCTGTGGGGAGAAGCCAGACTGCAGGGACACGCCAGGATATGGGGAGAGACCTGGCTATGGGGAGAGCCTGGGCAACAGGGAGAGGCCAGGCTGTGGGGAAACCCCCAGATGGGGACAGAGGCCAGGCTGTGAATGGGAAACTGCGTCTGTTTCCTGAGGCTGCCGTAAGACACTCCTAAGTATGAGAGCACAGACTTGATTCCCTCCCCATTCTGGAGGCTGCCGTCAGCAGGCCATTCCTAGAGAGGCTCCTTCCTCTCCTCTTCCGGCCTCTGGGGGCTCCCGGTGCCCTTGGCTTGTGGCCACATCACTCCGGTCTCTCCTCTGGTCACACAGCCTCCTCCGTGTGCCAAATCTTTTGCGGAGCCACTTAAGATGGTATTTGGGGCCCACGGTAATCCAGAATAATCTTCTCATCTCAAGATCCTTAAGCTAATTACATCTGCAAAAGCCCTTTTTCCAAAACAGGTCACGTGCACAGGTCCCAGGGCTTAGGATGGGGCCGTGACCTTGGGAATGCTCAGCGGCCAACCACAAACGCCCACTGAGTAGCTTCCTGGGGCTGCTGTAACAAGGTGCCCAAACAGAGCAGCTTAAAATAGAACTGCATCTTCTCACAGTTCAGGGGGCTGGAAGGCTGCACGCGAGCTGCAGGCTGGCTGCATTCTCTGGAGGCTCTGCAGTGGCGTCTGTCCCAGGCCTCTCTCCGTGGTGGCCATGGCAGTCCTCGGTGCTCCTGGCTTTCGGCCACATGGCCCCAGTCTCTGCCTTTGTGTTTATGTGGCCTCCTCCAGTGTCTCTGTCTTCTGTTCCTGCAGAGACAACAGTCTTTGGAGCTAGGGCCCACCCTAGTCCAGGATGATTCCATCTCAAACCCCTATTTAATTACATCTGCAAAGACCATTTCCAAAAAGGTCACATTCCGAGGTTCCGAGCAGACATGAACTTTTAGTGGACGTTATTCGAGCCCCTCCACCTCACAGACAGGCTCTGGTGGACTCCTCACCTCAACCCTGCTCCAAGGGTACATGATGTCCCCCTTTACAGACAGGGAGACTGAGGCACAGCTTGAAGAACCTGCCCACGGCCACACAGCTACTGCAGCAGCAGAACTGGGGTGATTCCATCTGAGCCTTCATCCATGCAGACACCTCCAAGCCCAAGGCATCCACGGAGGGCTCCTCCCTCGTCTTCTCCACACCCCAAGCTCACAGGGATGTTTCTCTGTGGAGGTGGAGCAGGCAGTGCTGCCCTGGGGCCTCTATCCTGGGATCTCTGGGGCCAGCTTCAATGTCATCATGGGTGGCCGCTGGCCCAAAGTCCTGCTCAGCAGCAGCAGCAGCAGGACAGGCCTCTGGAGAGCATGCCTCTGTCTCTGGCCCTGCCAGTGGCGTCCTTGTGTCCTTGGGGACCCCACACACACACATTCTTCTGCAGAGGCAATCAATAAAGCCGGGGCACCAAGGAGGCTTCAGGAGTGATTAGCAATGGAGCAGGCTGGAAAATACGCGGACGCTAGGGCAGATCGTATTGATTCCATTGACTTGCCCTTTGCCAGGCTGTTGTATTTATAACTCAGATGAAATCCTATTTGGATTTTAGAATGGGTGGGTTTATAACTCAGATGAAATCCTATTTGGATTTTAGAATGGGTGGGTTTATAACTCAGATGAAATCCTATTTGGATTTTAGAATGGGTGGGTTTTTTTGAACAGTTGGTGCAAAATAAACACAAGCATTTTTAACATGGACAATGAAACACATTAAACTATAATAATAAAGGCAGGCAGGCAAGCACGTCCATGGGAAAGTGGTTTCAGTTGAAAAGTAAGCTCCACCCCAGAACTGTCACACCTGCACTGCTCACGCCAGGGACAGACCGTGATAGGAGCACAGCCTCCTGTCCTCCAGCCCCCGCCCAGCCCAGCTTCCCCAGCCCTGCTGACCTGGGGGCTGTCTTCATGCCTGGATGCTTCTAGTGCCCTGCCCCCGCCACGTTTAAGAGAATGTTTTGAAAAATAATCACTTCCCAAGGCAGAAAACAGAGAGCAAAACACAGAGCGATTCAGAAGAGCCGCCTGCTCAGGGGTGCCCCGGATGTTATCTGCAACCTGGCACGGCCCGACTGCAGGCCTCAGCCCTGTGCCCTGGCCCCACCTGAGCAATTCCTCTGCCCTCTTCAGGGCCCAGCCAGGTGGTCACAGCAAATCTGGTCAGGACCAGGGACAATCAGCCCGCAGGGACGTCCTGCCTCAGCCATCCACTTGATGGTGACGACTGCCCCGACCCCTCTCTCTCAGCAGCTGTGCCTGCCTGGAGCCCCCGTACCCCTCACCCGGCCGTAAGGGCTGCTGCACCCTCTGCTCTCCTCACTGGACTGTGGCGTCCTGAGGAACCCACCAGCCACTTTCTTATGCATCTCGGCACTCAGGGGACAAAACCAGCTCTCCCGGAGGGGCTTGTGGGACCGAGTTTCACTGAGAGACATGGTGAATGGAAGAACTTCACGCATCATAGCAGGCAGAGGACTCCGGGAGCCCTTGACCCAACCCACAGGTCATCTTACCAGTACTAGCGACTCACTGCGGTAGTGAGTTGGGTGAGGCCCAGAAGTCCCTCCTGGTCACTTGCGATGGGATGAAGATATTTTTGAAACCTAGAGAGACAGGGTTATCTAACAGAGTAAGAAAGCCAGGGCTGGCTTCTTTCCCCTCGGAATGAAGTTCAAGCCTCCTCTGTCCCATAAGTGCACAAATGTCCACCGTGCTAACTTTACACGCTCCATTTTTACTTTGGGCAAGCAGGATTTGCAGCGCGGGAGAGATGACCTGGACATGAGCCGGCAGTGGCCTGCGCACCACAGGAGGCCCTTCAGCCGACGGCCATGTCTGCGCTGCGCGATCCTGTCCCTGTCAGAGCCGCTGACCTGGGTCTAGTCCCACAGAACCTCTCCTGGAGCCTTGGGGACCAGGGCTGGCAGCTGAAGTCACTCCTCTGCGTAATGGAATGAGAAGTAAGGCTTTAAGACGTCAACACTGTGTCTACACTGTGTCCCACCGTGAGCAGACGTGGCTTGGTCCCTGATCCCCCAGGGCAGGCACCCCCAGGCACAGGCTCCTTCACATTGGGCTTCTGTCACTTGTAACAAAAAGAGCCCCAACTAAGACAACAGAAGAGATCGTGTAACGACATTTCGAAGCACAGAGTCGGAATCCTGGGAAGACGAGAACGGCAATCCTGGGCAAAGCTCCAGGCAGATGCAGGGCCAGAGCCTCCCTCAGGGCTCCTCCCAGGACCTCCCCCCAGGGCTCCTCCCAGGACCTCCCCCCAGGGCTCCCGGCCTCTGCAGGTTGCCTGGGACAAGAGGTCTTCCTTCCTAGTCCCTCTAACCTCTCCACTGAGAGCACCCCATGAGCCTGGCGCCCCAGGCACTGTGCAGGAGGGAACAGCAGGCCGGCAGCCTCTGCCCTGTGGGTCCGCACAGCCTGGGGAGCGGGGACAGAATGCACCCCCCACTGCGATCCCACCTGTCTGCCTCCATCCTTCCCCATCCACTCCGAGGCCGGACGTTGCCTGACTAGGACAGCTCTTCTCCTATTTCTCAGATGTCTGTTCCATTGGTTTCTCTTTGTCAAGATGTCTGATCCACCGTCAGCAGTTTCTTGAGTGGAGGTGAGCACTGTGGTTAGGGAGTCACACTTAGGCACCAGTTACCTACGCCATGTAACAACACTGCTCTGAAACTTGTGCCTTATGACAGGAACATACATTCTCGCCTGCAGTCTCCGGGTTAGCTGGGTGGTGTGGGGCTCTCCTGAGGTTGCCCTCAAGGTGACGGCTGGGGCTGCATCATCTGAAGGCTCAACGGGGGCTGGAGGACCTGCTTCCACACACCCCGAGCCAGCAGCACTGCTGGCAGAGGCCTCAGACCTCCCCAGAGAGCTGCACAAGTGTCCTGCGGACGTGGCAGCCAGCTTCCCCAGAGCGCAATGTCTGAGAGCAAGCAGGAAACTACATGCCAACAGAGGCCACCCACAGCCACCTCAGCCGCTTCCTACTCATTAGAAACAAGTGACCAACAGAGACCATGCTGAAGGGGAGGATAAATTGAGGGAGATCGTCAGAAACTTGTGGTTGTATTTTTTAAAACAACACACTTAATTTTTTAAAAAATTGTTGTCATTTCACTGGATTTGGGGCACTGGGGAGACTGACCCACATCTTCTCCTCCACCACCCAGATTCCTATCATGTGCTGATCTGAACGTTTAATTTTCAGAAAGGAGAAAGTCTCCTCCAAGTTCTTCAGGAAATTCATCCCAATATTCATCAGATGCTTTTAAGGAACACCAGAAAAAACTCCAGGTCTGCCCTGGGGATAGCTCTGAACCCCCTGTGTGGTTTAACACACACAGAACTTCCCGTTGCACTGCTGACAGGTACCACGTGGGAAAGAGCTCACTGGGGTCAGCAAAGCTGGGGAAGCAAAGCTAAGCACAGCCCCGAGGCCTCCAGCTGCTCCCTGCACGACGGCTCTCCCCAAGAGGGACTCAGACTCCCAACCCATAATAGAACCCTTTCAATGCATGGCTTCACAGACTAGCTTTCCTCAGAGCATGCATTGTAAAGACACCAGCCTGGAGCGTCAGTTGGGAGTTTATCATCCAAAGACCATTAGAGGAGCAAAAATCCCCACCTGTCACCCAGCTCCAAGAGTCAGAGACCCCCAAGTTGCAAGGAACAGCAAAGGAGCCCCACGCCACAGGCCACTCGGCCACCTCCCTTCCGTCTCCAAGGGGGTCTGAAGACCTCAGGATGGTGCAAGCCCCAGGGAGGCCCCGGAGAGCCTTTGTTTCCCCTTTCGGTGACTGAGCCAGCCCTGCTGTCAGCATCCCTGACGGGTCAGGCCATCCTAGGGCCCTCGCTGGCCAGGTGGCCCTGCACACACATGCTCCCAGGTGGCACCCGGGGCCAGAGATCCCCTAATGAATTTCTTGCTGCACATAGGCTGAGTCCAGGGACTGTACATGCTCTCCTGCATCTTTGCTGGGAGCTCCATCTCTGCTGGGAGCACCATGCTATATCTGCTGTGTGTCTGTGACCCTCATCTGTGACACCCTGGTTCCAGACTTTATTTTCGGTCTCAACACACATGTAATAAGAGATGTGTGCAAAGGGACTTTCAGGATAAACTGGCTCCACCACCCTATCCCTTCGCCAGCGCCTGGCCCAGTGTCCAGCACACAGGAGGCAAGCATTTCTCAGATGTGGGATGCATGGCGCATCCCAGCGTCTTCTTTGTCAGAGAATGAGGGAGAAAAGAAACCACCAGAGTCTCCTGAAGGTGTTGCTGGAAAGAGCCCAGCTCACTGGCCGTGCACCTGCAGGCCGCTGGCCTCAGCACAGCCCCATCCCTAGAGTTCTCCCACGCCGCTGACAACAGGCGCTCCATCCATGGCCCGTGAAGTGCCCACGGGCTGCAGGTCTTCCCTTGAGATTCAGAAAGTACCTGCCGCTCAGCCCCTGTACACACCTGTCATGCCTCTCGGGCTCAAGTGATCCTCCCACCTCAGCACCTCAGTATCTGGGACCACAGGTGCCTACCACCCTGCTCGGCTAATTTTTGTATTTTTAGTAGAGATGGCGTTTCACCATGTTAGCCAGGCTGGTCTCAAACTCCTCAAGTGATCCTCCTGCCTCGGCCTCCTGAAGTGCTGGGATTACAGGCGTAAGCCACCGCGCCCGTCCTTTTTGTAATTAGGTTTTCACTGCATAAATCATAAAACGATTACAGGTCTCCAGAAACTGCTGCCTGATACACTTTCCAAAGTAAACAGCTTTTGGAAAAATGGCTGTTTTTAGATCACATCTAAATGTCGCATTCTTGGTCTGTGTGACTAGAACCAGACTCCAGCCATCCACCCGCCCACCTGGGGTATCACACACCAGGCTCTGGGAACGCGCAAGAAGCCGGCATGCTGGGAAGTTACTCATAGCTCCTGGGGTCACCCTCCCGCCCCATGCCCATCCGGATGAGATGTTTTCGTGAGTTGCGTAACTCACAGCCACCCGGTAACACGATCGACCAACAGAGGCCTCACTCTCGGGAAACCGAGGAGCCCGGCCGAGGCAGGGGAGCCCATCTTAGTTGTCAGAGCTGCGTCATGAGAACAAAATGTCTGAAGCTGCCAACTTCACCACAGAACTAGGGAAAACACCTCCATCAATAGAACCAGACGATCTCCTTGTGGACACGCAGGAAAACGTCTGCAGTGGTTACCTCACACGCCCCTCCTTGGGGGACAGGCAGGGAAAGAAAGGTCATGGAGCCCACAGTGGCTCATTTACATCCCTCAGTTCGTAACCACCAGCCTCTACAGGCTCTCTGAAGAGCTCGCAGAAGCACACGTGCACACACAGGCACGCAGGTCCACACGCATGCACACAAGTCCAACCACATGCATGACGATGTAAGCGCAGAAATGAGACCCCCTCCATCTCGGATTGGGTTTAATCTCCTGCAAATCAGCAAATCAGCAGCCACTCTGTGCAGTCAGGTGCCCACTGCAGCCCGGTTTGCCTTTCTAAATTTCATCTTAATTTAAGGAGGTAAAGAATGAAGTCCACACTCCACAGGATAACTACTTCTAAGGAGCTGGAAAGCTGTCTGGCTTATTGACACAAATTTAAGAAGGAATATTTCCTCCAAAGTCTTGGGTGAACCACAGCAGCTTGGGCAGTGTGGACGTCTGGCGTCCTGAGCTTGTGCTGGGCTGGAAGGAGAGCGGGGGAGTTTGTAAGGCAGGTTGCAGTGGTGTGGGCGGGAGACAGGGGTGGCGTTCACAGTGAGAGACGGCCAGGGGAGGCCCCTAGGAAGAATCCGCCCATCACAGTGGACGGAAGCCACGATTGGACGTGAGGCTTAATGTGAGCTCTGTGTACAAACAAAGCAACCAGCTCATTCTGTAGACCAGTATTAAACATGCTTATATTTTAAAATACAATTTTGATGCAAGAATTGAATTTAGTAGCTATATTTTCTAATCAAACATTAGAATATGTGGTCTGTACATATACGGCCAGAGGACAGAATGTCAGAAATGGGGACTGCAGGAAATAAACTGAGCTACGCAGTCACTGTGAGCCTAGCTCCTCCCTGCTTCCACCTAGTTCCAGTCCGATGAGGAGTGAGTCTCTCTTCGTCCTTCCCTTCTGTAAGAGGTCAATTTAGGCTTTTTTAAAATGGAGAGTTCAGGGTCATGAGCTGATAGCGGAGGCCTCTTTATCGTCATTTTTAATCAGCTCACACACAGAGACCATCACTGGGGCCCTGGCTAAGGAGGGGCATCTGCTGACAGTCGCTGCTCAGAGGCCAGCGGAGCGTCTCACCGGGCTCTCCATTCTTCCTTCTACACTTGAATGATAAGGATCGCAAATTTAAAGTAAAATCTTGAGCCCCCCAACTGACTGAATGGAACCCGTTGGCCAACCTTAAAAAACGAGTTCCCAGCCGGGGCGCAGTGGCTCAAGCCTGTAATCCCAGCACTTTGGGAGGCCAAGGCGGGCAGATAATGAGGTCAGGAGATCGAGACCAACCTGTCCAACACAGTGAAACCCCGTCTCTAATAAAAATACAAAAAATTAGCCGGGCGTGGTGGCAGACGCCTGTAATCCCAGCTACTCGGGAGGCTGAGGCAGGAGAATGGCGTGAACCTGGGAGGTGGAGCTTGCAGTGAGCCAAGATCGCGCCACTACACTCCAGCCTGGGTGACAGAGCGAGACTCCGTCTCAAAAAAAAAAAAAAAAAAAAAAATGAGTTCCCAGGCACGATGGACGGGAGGTCAGACACACCCCACTATACCCCCTCCCTTTTGGGATTTAGACACAACTGGCCAGCATTCATGTTAAAATAGAGATGGTGAGACCAGAGAACAGACTGTGGCAATAAGACACAAATCACACACAGGACCTAAGGCCTGGCCAGGCTACAGCGAAGTCTCGCACCCTGAACCTAAATAAGAAACTCTGTCCTCACCACCACCAAGGTTTTCTTCTCCAGCAGCTAAACCAGCGTTGGCCTTGAGATGAGCAAGATGAAAACAAGTCGTAGTTTATCCACCACCCGATGCTGGCTAACTGGCCCTGTTCCACCAGCCGTAACTACAGCTTTGATGGAACAAGAGACCGATTTCAGTAACTTCCTCTGGACAAGAATAAGCCCATGGATGGGCTCTGGCCGGCTGATAGAGGCTGAGCACTGGGAGCCTTCATGTCCCTGTTTCACCTTTAGAAGTGCAGAGCCTGCCTGGGATGCACGTAGATGTTAAGTCTCCTCTCCAAGGTGAACATGGGTTGTATGTAAGTGGATGTTTGTTCAATACACATGCGTCAGGACCACTTCATGAATATTCACAGCTCCTCCTGTAACCTGTTGAATATGTATGATCCTCCAGCCCATTCAGCATAAAGCTCCTGCCCCTTCTCCTCCAAGATGCCTGTCTGCGGTCTCTGCGGGAGGCTGTGCTTCCCAGCCTGCGGGATGCCACCTTGCAGAGTGTAACTCTTTACAAGAAATAATGTCTTTAGGTGGGCATGGTGGCTCACACCTGTAATCCCAACACTTTGGGAGGCCCAGGCGGATGGATCACCCAAGGTCAGGAGTTCGAGACCAGCCTGGCAACATGGTGAAACCCCATCTCCACTGAAAATACAAAAAAAATTAGCCGGGTGTGGTGGTGCACGCCTGTAATCCCAGCTACTCGGGAGGCTGAGGCAGGAGAATCGCTTGAACCCAGGAGGCAGAGGTTGCAGTGAGCCAAGATCACACCCCTCCACTCCAGCCTGGGCGACGAGAATGAAACTCCATCTCAAAAAAAAAGAAAAGAAAAAGAAAGAATGTCTCCTCTTCTAAATGTATAGATTGTGTCATCTTTTAGTTAACAAGATGAAGAGATGGATGGCAAGAAGAGAAATAAAAATCAGAAAGGAGATGATCCTATTCACTTTTCGGAAGTGAGGACAAAACCAAATAGGGAAATGAGCCGCCGCAGGAATGAAGAAGCCTGTAACAGCTATTCCAAACCGGGAGAGCGTCCTGGGGCCAGGACTTCATTGGGATAAGATGTTGAATCTGGAACAAGATAGAACAAGGCTGGACATTTCCTGGATTATCCACGCCTACTCCTTAGAAACAAGCGTGAAGTCCCCACAATGCGAGCAGGCCTCTCACCAGGTTGCCTGTGCTGTCTGCAGTGCGGTATCTACCTCGAGTAGGAAGACGGCAGGAAAAATCAAAGTGTCTTGAAAATGCCAACACATTAACCAGCTTGAAGCCATACTCAAGTGCGATAATTCATATTCTGATTTATTAATATCCCAGTCATAAACCCCATGGCAATAAATACATCTGTGCCTGTAAAAAGAGGGCACACTTGAAAAATAACACATGTCCAGGAATATCTTACTCAGCAAGCAGGCAGAGCCTGCTCTAAATTGACGAACTTGGACACAGTGAAAACCAACAGCTGTCCCGCTTGGGAAACTAACAGTTGGGCTCCTTGGAAAAAATACCTGATTTAGAATCTAACGAATGTGTTTATAAAGGACCCATCTTCTTTTTTTTGTTTTTTGAGACAGAGTCTCGCTCTGCTGCCCAGGCTGGACTGCAATGGCAAGATCTCAGCTCACTGCAACCTCCGCCTCCTGGGTTCAAGCAATTCTCCCACCTCAGCCTCCTGAGTAGCTGGGATTACAGGCACCCGCCATCATGGCCAGGCTGGTCTTGAACCTCTGACCTCAGGTGATCCGCCCACCTCGGCCTCCCAAAGTGCTGGGATTATAGGCGTGAGCCACCGCGCCCAGCCAAGGATCCGTCTTCTCTAACATTCGGCTTGAAGAGAGACCCCCCCACTACTTTACAGTGATGCCTTCGGGAAGAACAGCCTTTTACCTCCCTAGGTTTTCTCCCCGCCTAGAGTTCTGTTTCTTACTACATTACATTTCCGCTCGCTTAGTGTTTTTCAACCCTCGAGCTCTCCTCAAACCGTTCCATTGTTTAAGATACTAACAAGGGGCTGCCCTGACCCAGGAGACAGTGTAAGTGTAGGGATCAGGGAACAGAAGCAGGAACGCAAGACGCCGGATACAAACGTGAACATGCTGCAGGATTCCACGTGCATCAAATTCTAGAAAAGCCAAAACCCACCCACATAGGTTGCTTAGGATGGGGTGGGGGGACTAAGAAGGGGCATGAGAACCTTCTTTGGGTGATGAAAATGTCCTATGTTGTTCTGCCTGAGGTCATGCTGCATTTGTCAAAATTCAAAAACACTGAAAATGAGTACATTTTATTGTATATAAATGACACCTCAATAAAAACGAAAGATGTGAGCAACATCCTGGGAAAAGAAAATGTGATTTCACCTTAAGTGCTTTAGCAGAATTCTATTATATGCCTCAGCTCTTACTCTTTCTTCTTTTTTGAGACAGAGTCTCGCTCTGTCACCCAGGCTGGAGTGCAGTGGCCACAATCACAGCTCACTGCAGCCTCGACCTCCCAGGCTCTAAGAATCCTCCCACCTTAGCCTCCTGAGTAGCTGAGATTACAGGCATGAGCCACTGTGCCCAGGAACTTACTCTTGCCTGTAAAAATACAGCTCTGAAGTGAAGAAATCCCAGGCGCCACATCAAGGAGGCGAAACTAGAGTCCGCAGGAGGCCAGCCCCGCACGAGGAGTTTCAAACACTAAGGATCCTGACAGGGAAAAGTTATATGAAGCAAGAAAGGCAATTTAAAGCGATAGTTTATCATATGAATGTTTCGTTCTTAAAAATGAACAAGCTCTATTTATAATGCCCATTTAGAAATGAATCCATTAAAAAAAATCAGTAGATCAGCACTTATTTTAATTACTGAGATAGAGTCACACTTGACAGAAGCAAGCCCTGCGGTATATGGCATCATCACACCACCGGTGGGTATTTTAATCCTAAAACTGAGACAGAGTTTACTTAAACATTTAAGGCTTGAGTTTCCTCTGTACAGTGTGGAGGTGATTAAGAAAATTAATCCTAACATGAAGATTTTTCATCCAGTTAAAAAAAGAAATACTTTAAAAACGACCTGCCCTTCCAAAACATGAAGTTAACTTGGAGTTTTTCTGTGATATGACAAACTAGGCATAATCCTATCTCGGAATTGTTGAGTAGAAAATTTATGTACTAATACTCCTGTTAAAATTCAACAGCTTTATTGTGAAAGAATCCAGAGATCTCACACTGAAAAAATACTAACACAGCTCATATATAAATTACTTATCTATAAGAACAATTATAGAAGGAATCTAAATGGGGCAATTTTAACAAACCAGGCAAAATATCACATATACCTGAATATAAGGTAACTCCAAGCCATGAGTATAAGATTAAGGCAGTTACTTTATTTTGAACAAGGAAGTGGCATAAGCAACTCAGTGTGTGCCCCTTAGGGTGGGAGCTCTTCCCCCTACCACTCCCCACCCCAAGGCATCATTTTGGAGAAAAAAGTGTCTTCTATCTGGCTAGCTGTGTTATCTAGGATTGCACCTTCTTACACGGCAGGCGCGGCATCACGTCCAGATGGGCATCTAAGGAACTGCATTTCGGGAGATGAAACTTTCATTTGGGACTCAACTGAATGCATGAACTAACACAGGGCCATGGACCCACCAGTCTTGATTGAGTTACAGAAAATGAAGGTGACTCTTTACACTTCCAAGTTGCTTTCTAGATCCTTTCATTACAAAATATTCTGATCAAATAATCTTACAAAGGAAAGATAATCTAGCCTCAAGGCTATCCTCTAAAAGCAAAGAGAAAGTGATTGATTTTCTGCTCAGTCATTACATTGGGGACCTTTACGAGGCACGTGTTAGTTCCCAGGCAGCACTGCTAGGCGGTCTGTGCCAGAAATTTCACGTACTGCCCGCGGGCTTCAAAATGGTCAGCGGGCCGGTTGTACGCTGTCCACACCGGTTCTCCCACAAACAGCCGCATGGCCTTCGTGTAGTTCTGGAAAACAGACAAACACACCCAGCATCTCATTAAACCAGCCGGCCTTCTACTTAGTATTTATTAACATATCAACTTGTTAACATTAATTGCTATAAACACTTTACTTGCTATTTTTATTCTGCGTCTTTAACAATTTAGGCCACATTTTATTCGTGGAAGGAAAATTTGTATCAGGTGGTGCAGCTGGCCCTGCCTGTCCTCACGTGCCAGGTAAGAGCATCTGGAGCTGAGGCTTGGTGTTGAACTCCGCACCTCCGTGCTCTCTATAGAGACACACAGTCAGGAAAAGCACTGGCTCCAACCCCATGTACCCTCCACCTCCTCTCCGCCTCATTTGGCTACAGTTTTCCTAAGAATTAGCATCAGGGCCCACATGTTGCTGGTGGGCAGGAGAGGACAATTCAGCCACATCCGTCCAGACTAAAAACGCACGTGCCTTTTAATTCAGTTTTTACTTTTAGGAATTTACCCTACAGAAAAACACACAGAAGTGCAAAATGACAAGCATGTAAGGGTATTTATTACAGCCCTGTTCACAAGAGCAAAAAATTGAGAACAATGTATATACTCATTGTTGGGGGTCAATGACTCACTGAAATAAATTAATGGTTAAATACAGTACAGCATGTCCAGCGCCAGAGTACTGTGCAGCTGTAATCAGGGCTGAGGCTTGTAGACACTGAAATGAAACAGTCCCCAGTGAACATCATGTAGAAAAAAGTAAAATGTAGAACCATGGGAGGCCAAGGTGGGTGGATCACCTGAGGTCAGGAGTTTGAGACCAGCCTGGCCAACATGGTGAAACCCCGTCTCTACTAAAAACACAAAAATTAGCCGGGCGTGGTGGTGTGCCCCAGTAATCCCAGCTACTCAGGAGGCTGAGGCAGGAGAATCGCTTGAGCTTGGGAGGTGGAGGTTGCATTGAGCCGAGATCAAGCCACTACATGCCAGCCTGGGCGACAAAGTGAGACTCCATCTCAAAGAAAAAAAAAAAAAAAAGAATCCTGACTGACATGCACTTGGATATGTGTAAAGTCACTCTAAAAATAATTTTTTTAGTGGAATACTGGTTACTTTCAGGGAGAGAAACTGGGAGGCTGGGAACAGGGGTCAGAGGGAGACCTTTCACCAGGTCCCCTTTCATATTTCTAAATTTTAAACCATGTGCATTTAGTATTTATTCAAAAATTACCCTTAAATCAGCATTACCCCAATCGCCTCCAGTGAACCCCAAAACTACCTTATCTGTGTTTATTGCCAATCCTGACTGGACTGCGTTACTGTTCAATTCCAAAACTGAAATGTTTTTAAAAGTGACAGTATGGCAACATAACAACCCTACAGGCGCCTCACCACCAAACACGGGCTGGGGTGACAACCCTAGAGATGCCTCACCGCCAAGCAAGGGCTGGGGCAGGGCCAGGCTCGTGGGTGTGTACCTGCCGCCGCATGTACCTGCCGCCGCCTGTACCTGCCCCGCCTGGGTATGAAATGCACACCTGTCCACCAGGATCGCAGGCAGGGGCCACGGAGGCTGCCACGGAAGGACAGCTGTCACCTCGGACATCGCCTGCGGCTCCACAGACTCTCCTTGAAGCACAGGTCGAGGAGTCCCGAGCCCAGCGACCGCGCTTGGAGTCTGCGGAAGCCGCGCAGTTCAGCGGCAGAGATGCCACGGCCAGGGCCACCACACAGGCCGGGCCTGGGGAGAAAGCACAGCACTCCCACCTTCTCGTCCACCGTGAAGCGGTGATAGATCCCCGCGGGGAGCGTCACCATGTCTCCCTTCTCCATGAAGATCCGGATCCACTGGTCCTCCTTGTCCCTCACATCGAAGTACCCACTGCCATCCAGGATGTAGCGGATCTCATCGTCCAAGTGCAAATGCTCCTCGTAGAACATCTTAATCTAGTGCAGAAGGAACATTCCTGTGAGTCTACCAGAGACCTGTCACGCAAGCTCACACCCACCCACTCAGCAGCCTGAGCCTTTGGTGGGCCAGAGCTGAGGTGAATGGGACTTCTCTCCATAAAAATGAAACTACACTTGCTAAGAATTATTTTCCTAACAGTACAAGGGCCAGAGCTAGAATATTTTATGAAACCTGTCAACAAATGGGCAGTAACTGAAAGTGAACAGACCTGAAGCAAAGGTTCTGAACACTTCACACAGGCCAACTCACCCAACCCGCACGGCCCCACGAGGTGGCTGCTCTATCAGCCCCGTTTTACAGATGTGGAAATGGTGGCACAGAGAGGCTAAGTCACTGGCCCAACCTCACACAACGAGACTGCCCCAAAGACACCCTGGCCCCATGCTCACACCCACCCAGTGTGCTGCACACAGCAGTCATGAAATCACAACACACAGGGTGAGTGAGAAGCCAGTGGACATTGCAGGGAGGCAGGCACAGACTCCACAAGCATTTTCTATGTCTTCACATTGACTTTTGTGTATTTTTTTTTTTAGGTGGAGTCTCGCTCTGTTGCCCAGGCTGGAGTGCAGTGGCACAATCTCAGCTCACTGCAACCTCCGCCTCCCCGATTCAAGCGATTCTCGTGCCTCCCAAGTAGCTGGGATTACAGGTACCTACCACTATACCCAGCTAATTTTTGTATTCTCAGTAGAGATGGGGTTTCAACATGTTGGCCAGGCTGGTCTCAAACTCCTGACCTCAGGTCATCCACCTGCCTCGGCCTCCCACAGTGCTGGGATTCCAGGTGGAAGCCACCACGCCTGGTCTGACTTTTGTGTCTTTCTGAAAGTGTTTTCTTCCTAATATTTTATAATAAAAATATTCAAGTATGCAAAAACATTGAGAGTATTTTACAGTAAATATCCATACCCCCTTCACCAAGACTGTGCCCTTATAATCTGATTCTGCCTGCACTGTTCATATCTCCACACCTCCCGCTCCACACACACACACACACACACACACACACACACACACACACAGAGACAGGGTTTCACTCTGTTGCTCAGGCTGGAGTGCAGGGGCACAATCATGACTCACTACAGCCTCAAACTCTGGGGCTCAAGAGATCCTCCTGCCTCAGCCTTCCCAGTAGCTGGGACTACAGGCGTGCACTACCATACCTGGCTAATTTTTTAAAAAAATTTTTTCTAGAGACAGGGTCTTATTATGTTGCCCAGGCTAGTCTCAAACTCCAGGCCTCAAGTGATCCTCCTGCCTTGGCCTCCCAAAGCACTGGGATTACAGGCATGAGCCACTGCCCCCAGCCTACCTTGTTATGTGTTACAAAATCATAAATAAAATGAAAACAAGATTAGGAGGAAAACCTTAAATTTGAAATCAGTCTATTCATAGCCACACAGAAAGAAAAGACAAACGGAAATAGCTCTTTTTTTTTTTTTTTTTTTGAGACGGAATTTCACTCTTGTTGCCCAGGCTGGAGTGCAATGGCGCGATCTCGGCTCACTTCAACCTCCGCCTCCCAGGTTCAAGCAATTCTCTGCCTCAGCCTCCCAAGTAGCTGGGGTCACAGGCATGATCACCACACCCAGCTAATTTTATATTTTTAGTAGAGACGGGGTTTCTCCATGTTGGTCAGGCTGGCCTCGAACTCTCGTCCTTGGGTGATCTGCCCACCTCAGTCTCCCAAAGTGCTAGGATTACAGGCGTGAGCCACCGCACACGGCGACAAACGGAAATAACTCTTGAACATATTATTTTGACTACATCCTCAGGCTAAGACAGAAAAACCGCAACCCAAGCTTAGGTTGCACTCAGTAGGCCTGCTGCTTGTCATGGTCTGGGTGCTGCCATGCTGATGCTGTTGTGTGTGTTGTGGGGATTGAGAGGATGGGAAAAAACATTGATATGACTGGGAGCCAGGCCTCTCACAGTGAGAGGAAAGATACAAATACTGATGAGGAAGGCAAAGGAAAGCCCTGTGGATGTAACTGGAATTAGAGGTGTCTGTTTGAACTACTTGTCACACACACAGGGACACATGCACACTCACACAGGCGCACTGTCACACAAGCACACACACTCCCATGCTAGCATTCACACACAAACCTACACACGCACACACACGTACACGCTCTCACATGCGTACATTCACACTCACATGCACACATACATGCATGCATTCACACACATGCACACACGTAACACTCTCTCATGTGCATTCACACACATGCACACACGTAACACTCACTCATGTGCATTCACACACATGCACACATACACACTGACACGCACATTCACACACATGCACACATACACACGTACTCACACGCACATTCACACACATGCACACATACACACGTACTCACACGCACATTCACACACATGCACACGTACACACACGAGTGCATTCACACTCATGCACACATACGGACGTACACTCACACGTGTGCATTCACACTCATGCACACGTACACACACACGCCTACATTCACACACTCACATGCACACATACACACGTACACACTCACACACGTGCATTCACTCGCATGGTACTCATCCCGTCCACAGAAAGCACCTGAGCACAGCGACTCTGCAGGGCACTCCCATCCGAGTTTCTAAGTGCCAGGGCTAAGTGCCAGGAAGAGCAGCTGACCCCGCACAAGGTCAGGAAAAGCAGGAGGTGGGCCTGGACACGCTGTAGGTCCAGAAAGTAATGGGCTGGGGATGCGCCAGGGGACAGAAGTCAGCTAACGAGGCTGCTGCTTGCCAAGCCTGAGGTCTGGGACAACGTGAAGATCAACATAAATCCCAGCAAGAATAGACCCTAGACCAACAAGTGAGACAAGAAGGCCTCCAGCCCCAGTGGATGCCGAGTGAACAGAGAAGAGGGGGACATGCCTCCTGACAGTGAAAACCAACCCCCGGGTGAGCGCCACTGCACGGCCATGACAGTCACAGCCCACAAAGGCAGGAATCATCACGACTTACGAAAAACGTTGAGTGAAAGTTTGAGGGGAAATGGGATATTCATGGTCTAAAAGTAACTTTCCACACATTTCTTACTAGTTACAGAGGAAAAGAAAAGGAACTTCCCCATGGAGAGACTTGACGGACGCCGATTTCACCCAGGGCACGTTGACATCAGCAGTGAGGGGCCCTCGGACACGCTTACTCACAACACCACTGCGTAGGATTCCGCTACAAACACACGACCTAACACTGAGGAAACCAGTGGCAATCACAAGATCGTCAGAAAATAAGGTTATTTTAGAAAAACAAAGAATAAGCCGGTATCAGCAAGAGGGTTTTATACCAGGAGAGAAGTAATTCCAGAAAACAGCAATGATGAAGCTAATGTAACTTACAACATCAGCAGCAGGCCAGCCTCTGTTATGTGAGATAAAACGTGGCTGAGAAGAGGCTGGCTCATCTCAACTTCCACGTCAGAGTCACACCATTTACATCCACCAGAATCTAATGAACTGTAGGGCACTCAGTGAGAAATAAAGACAATATGTGGACTCTAACCAGGAAGAATCATTTGACATAGAGAAAAGGAACTCACACGACAGATCTATTTTTGAACAATTTCCACATCCTTAAGCTCTTCTGCTCTTAGTTCTATCTGGTATTGTCGGTTCACCTGCGTATGTTTGTATTGTTGGTTCACCTGTGTATGTCTGTATTGTCTGTTCGCCTGCGTATGTTTGTATTGTCTGTTCACCTGTGTATGTTTGTACTGTTTGTTCACCTGTGTATGTTTGTATTGTTGGTTCACCTGAGTATGTTTCTATTGTTGGCTCACCTGTGTATGTCTGCATTGTTGGTTCACCTGCGTATGTTTGTATTGTCGGTTCACCTGCGTATGTTTGCGTTGTTGGTTCACCTGAGTATGTTTGCATTGTCAGTTCACCTGTGTATGTTTGTATTTTCTGTTCACCTGTGTATGTTTGTATTGTCTGTTCACCTGTGTATGTTTGTATTGTTGGTTCACCTGAGTATGTTTGCATTGTTGGTTCACCTATGTTTGTATTGTTGGTTCACCTGTGTATGTCTGCATTGTTGGTTCACCTGTGTATGTTTGTATTGTCAGTTTACCTGCGTATGTTTATATTGTTTGTTCACCTGCATATGTTTTCTAAAGAGCTTAGAAGCCACCACTCCATCCTATCAAGTAAAAGCAGAACAAACTGAAAAACCAACTCTTTTTAAATCTGTAAGAGAAGCGAAGTCACAGAGCAAACCACAGCCCCTCACACTGGAGAGACAGGCAGACAGAAAGATCCACACCTAACCAGAGCAGAAACCCCTATGGGAAGCAGGGCTGGGGTCGAGAAACCCAAACTGTACTTGACCAGTTGGGGGCTCAGTGTAGACAAGTCTGAGAGCTAAAAAAAACTCCAGACCCAGTCATCAGGGGCCTCACACTTTTGTAAATTTTACCTGCAAAAGCTCTACTGGGTCCCAACAGTGAGTATCAGGGAAAATTCCCTGTGCTTCTGGCAGAGGGAGGGAAAGGGGGCCATTCTGAAGTCTATCAGGATACATCTGAAATCTCTTCTTATGAAGGCCTCAACTCAGGAGAGCTCAGCCAGCCAGATCCCAGCCTGCTGGGCTTTCATGAGAGCCTGACCTGGGTGAAGGGAAACACGAAACTCCAGCCCCTTCGGAACTCCATGTTATGGACTGAATACTATGATCCCCCTCCCCCGGGTCCATGGGCTGAAACCCTACCCTCTAATATGGTGGTATTAGCAGGTGGTGTCTTTGGGAGGTAATTAGGATTAGATAACGTGATGAGGGTGGAGCCCTCATGAATGGGATTAGTGTCCTTATAAAAGTCCCAAAAGAGCTTGCTTCTTCTACCCACCCACCATGTGAAAACACAGTCGTCTATAAACCAGGAAGCAGCTCTCACAAGACACCAAAGCTGCCAGTGTCCTGACCTTGGGCGTCCCTGCCTGCAGACTGTGAGAAATAAATGTTTGTTGTTTAAGCCACCCAGTTTATGGTATTTGCTTATGGAAGCCTGAGCTGACTAAGACAGGAGAGGAAGGGAAACCCCAAGTCCAGCTGCTTCCAGCCATCATGTCCCACTTAAAGGAGGGAGTCTGAGAAACGCTGGTGAAGTTCACAGCCCAGAGGCACAGGCTGACTACAAGACTGAGACTGTCCTAGCTAATGCAATATGAAGAAATATAAGGCATACTGATTAGAAAGGAAGAAATAAAACTCCCTTTGCTCGCAGATGGTATCACTGTCTAGGTAGGAAATCCAAAAGAATCAACAAAGAAAAGCTCCTGGAACTAACAAGCAATCATGGCAAGTTTGCAGGATACAGGGTTAATACACAAAAGTTAATCACTTTCCTATATACCAGAAACACAGCAAGTGATATTTGAAATTCAAAACACAAAACCATATACATTTGCACCCCCAAAAATGAAATGCTTAGGTATGAATCTAACAAAATATGCATAAGATCTACAAGAAAACTACAAAACTCTGATGAAACAAATCAAAAACTAAACAAATGGAGAGAAATTCCAAGTTCATGAATAGGAAGACTCAGTAGTGTTAAGATGTCCATTTTTCCAAACTTAATCTATAGGTTCAGTACAATCCAATTCAAAGTTCCAGCTAGTTATTTTGCACATATCAGCAAACTGACTGTGAAGTTTATCTGGAGAGGCACAAGACCCAGAATACCCAACACAATATTGAAGAAGAACAAAGTTGAAGAACCGACACTACCTGACTTCAAGACTTACTATCATGCTATAGTAGTCAAGACTGAGACACTGGTGAAATAGTAGAAAAATAGATCAACTGATCTTTGACAAAGGACCAAAGGCAATACAATGAAAAAAAGGTATTCTTTGTTTGTGTTAGAGTGATTTTGATCTCCAGCATTTTCTTTTGACTCTCTCTGAGCTTCCCTCTCTCTGCTTATATTACCCATCTGTTCTTGCATGTTGTCTACTTTTTCCATAGAGCCCTTTGTATTAGTCCGTTCTTATGCTGCTATAAACAACTGCCCAAGACTGGGTAATTTATAAAGGAAAGAAGTTTAATTGACTCACAATTGTGAAGGAAGAATCAGCAAGCTTGAAGACATGTCCATGGGGAGCAGGGATTGGGGGAGAACAAAATAGCCCTGAACTGTGGAACAATTATAAAAGATGTAACATATGTATAAATGGTATAACAGAAGTAGAAGAGAAAAAAGTGAATAAATATTTGAAATACTGTCCACAAATTTTCCAAAATTAATGACAGACACCACACAGATCCAGGAAACTGAGAGAACACCAAGCAGGATAAATGCCAAAATATCTGTACCTAGGCATATCATATTAAAACTGCAGAAAGCAAAAGACAGAAAACCTTGAAAAAGGCCAAAGGAAAAAATGCACCTAACCTATAGAAGAAAAAAGAAAAAGAATTACATCAGACCGTTCCTCAGAAACTATACAAGCAAGCAAGAAAAAAAAAACTACCAACCTAGCAATCTGTATCCAGCAGAATTATCCCTTAAAAGTGAAGAAGAAATAAAGACTTTCTCAGACAAACAAAAATGAAAAGAATTTGTCGCCCGTAGACTGACCTACCTTGCAAATAAATGTTTACAGAAGTTCTTCAAATGAAAAAGAAAATTATATAGGTCTGAATCTCAGATCTAAGTAAAGTGGAAAGAGAGAACAGAAATAAGAAGAAAACTAAAATCTTTTATTTCTTTGTTCTTCATTGATCTAATCGATAACTGTTTATTCAAAGTAATGTCAGTAACAATGTATTAGGTGATTATAACATATGGAGAATAAAATAAATAACAGCAACATTGTAAGAGATGGGAGGGAGGAATTGGGAACACTCAGTTATTGGGTAAATGTATACTGTAAACTCTGAGGCAACCACTAAATTTTTTTTTAATGATAAGCTAAGAGGAGAGAAAGCAGAATCATATAAAATGTTCAATTAAAACCAGACAAGGCAGAAAAAGAGGGGAATATTTAAAAACAACAATAGGCCGGGCACGGTGGCTCACATCTGTAATCCCAGCACTTTGGGAGGCCGAGGAGGGTGGATTACGAGGTCAGGAGATCGAGACCATCCTGGCTAACACAGTGAAACCCCATCTCTACTAAAAATACGAAAAAATTAGCTGGGCGTGGTGGCAGGTGCCTGTAGTCCCAGCTACTCAGGAGGTTGAGGCAGGAGAATGGCATGAACCTAGGAGGTGGAGCTTGCAGTGAGCCAAGATCGTGCCACTGCACTTCAGCCTGGGCAACAGAGTGAGACTCTGTCTCAAAAAAAAAAAAAAAAAAAAAAAAAACAATAACAAAGAACAAGCACAACAAATAGAAAACAGTCCCAAATATGGTAGACATTAATTCAACTGTATTAATAACCAATTTAAACATGAATGATCTAAATATACCATTAACAGAAAGAAACCATCGAAATGGATTAAAAAAACTAACTATAATACATGTCATCTACAAGAAGCCCTCTCTAAATAAAAAGACACAAATAGGTTAAATGTAAATGAATGGAGAAAGATATACCATATTAACACAAATCAAAAAAATGCTGGCCAGAGACAGTGCCTCATGTCAGTAATTCCAGCATTTTGGGAGGCCAAGGCAAGAAGATCACTTGAGCCCAGGAGTTCAAAAGCAGCCTGGGCAACATAGGGAGACCCCACCTCTATGAACAATAAAAATGAATTAGCCAGTTGTGGTGGTGTGCACCTGTAGTCCCAGCTACCTGGGAGGCTGAGATGGGAGGATCACTTGAGCTTGAGAGGTTGAGGCTGCAGTGAGCCATGATGGCACCACTGCATTTCAGCCTGGGTGACAGAGCAATACTCTGTCAAAAAAGGAAGAAGGGAAGGGAAGGGGAAGGGGAAGGGGAGAAAAGGAGAGGAGAGGGGAGGAGAGGAGGGGAGAGAGGGCGGAAGGAAGGAAAGAAGGAAGGAAGGGAGGGAGGGAGGGAGGGAGGGGAAGAAGCCAAGGGAGCTATCTTAATTTTAAAAACAGCAAAATCATCAGAGATAAAGGGGGACATTATATAATAATAAATGGGTCAATCTTCCAAGGGAACATAACAATCTTAAACACATATTTATCTAACAGCTGAGCATCAAAATATGTGAGGCTAACACTGATAGAACTGCAAAGAAAGATAGACAAATCCACTATTACAGTTGGCAATTTCAATACTAACAGTAATTGACATCCAGCAAGCAGAAAATCAGTAAAGATATAGTTGATCTGAATAATACCATCAATCAACTGTTCTTATTGGCATTCATAGATTACTTCATTCAACAACAATGGAATACCCATTCTTCTCAAGCTCACATGAAACATTCACCAAGACAGATAACATTCTGGACCATAAAACAAGTCTCAATATATTTACGAAGACTCAAATTATACAAAGTTTATTCTCTGACTACACCAGAAATAAATTAGAAACAAATAAAAAAATCTAGAAAAATCCTCAAATAATTGGAAACTAACAAATATCTAAAAACAAAACAAAACATCCACACAAGTCAAAGATAAAATTAAAAAGTAAATTAATTAGAATGTATTTAAAATGAAATGAAAATAAAAAGTATATCGAAATTATCAAAAGTTGTGTGAAGCCACTAAAGCAGTACTCTGGGGAAAATTTACAGCACTAAACCCCCGTACTAAGGAAAGAAAAACAACACTCTGCGAGGCCGAGGAGGGAGGATCACTTGAGGCCAGGAGTTCAAGACCAACCTGAACAACCTGGTGAGATTCCAACGCTACAAAAAATTAAAAAAAAAAAAAAATTAGGCAGGCCGGGTGCGGTGGCTCATGCCTGTAATCCCAGCACTTTGGGAGGCCAAGACAGGAGGATCACCTGAGATCAGGAGTTTGAGACCAGCCTGACCAACATGGAGAAA
The DNA here is from genome assembly GCF_000001405.40 of Homo sapiens. Classification (NCBI taxonomy): domain Eukaryota; kingdom Metazoa; phylum Chordata; class Mammalia; order Primates; family Hominidae; genus Homo; species Homo sapiens. The sequence goes on from NT_187522.1 coordinate 119,439, forward strand.
CCCCGTATCTACTAAAAATACAAAATTAGCTGGACATGGTGGCGTATGTCTGTAATCCCAGCTACTCAGGAGGCTGAGGCAGGAGAATTGCTTGAACCCAGGAGGCGGAGGTTGCGGAGAGCCGAGATTGTGCCATTGCACTCCAGCCTGGGCAACAAGAGCGGAACTCTGTCTCAAAAAAAAAAAAAAAAAAAAAATTAGCCTGGCATGGTGGCACATACCTGTAGTCCTAGCTACTCAGGAGGCCGAAGTGGGAGGACTGCTTAAGCCTAGGCATTCAAGACTGCAGTGAGCTATGATTGCACCACTGCACTTTAGCCTGGGTGGCAGAGCAAAGTAATAATAATAATAATGTCTGTTTCTAGAATAATAATAATAATAATGACAAAGAAAGAACTCAAATCAGTGACTTCAGCTTCCAACTAGGGAACTTAGAAAAAAGAGCAAATTAAAACATGTAAAAGAAGACAAATTATAAATGTCAGAGCAGAATCCAATGAAACAAAAAATAGAAAAAGAGAAAAATCAATGAAACCTAAAGTTTTTTGAGAGGATCAATACAATTGATAAGCCTCTATCCAGACTCAGGAAAGGGAGAAAAAACACAAATTATCAGTATCAGGAATGAGAGAAGACAGCACTACATACTCTACAGATATTAAAAGGATAATAGAAAATATTCCAAATATTTTTATGGCAATAAATTTGACAACTCAAATGAAATGGACAAATGCCTTGAGAGAAACAAACAAATAATGCTCATTCAAGAAAAAATGGGTTACCTGAATAGCCCTACATCTAGTAAAGAAGTTGAACTCACAGTTAAAAACCTTCCCACAAAGAAAACTACAAGGCCAGATGGCTTCACTGGTGAATCTCCAAACATAAGGAAAGAATAATACTATCTACACATACTCTTCCAAGAAACTGAACAGGAGGGACTACTTTCCAGCTCATTTTATGAGATCAGAATTACTCTGATATGAAATCCAAACTAAAACATTGATATAGTTTGGCAATATGTCCCCAACCAAATCTCATGTTAAATCGTAATTCTCAGTGTTGGAGATGGGGCCTGGTGGGAGGTGACTGGATCACGGGAATGGATTTCTCATGAATGGTTCAGCGCCACTCCCTTGGTGCTGTCTTCACCACAGTGAGTGACTTCTCACAAGATC